>NC_000002.12:93598795-93694676 GCF_000001405.40 Homo sapiens | reverse complement strand
TCTGTCTAGAGTTTATATGAAGACAATCCCGTTTCCAACGAAATCCTCAAAGCTATCCAAATATCCTCTTGCAGATTTTACAAAAAGAGTGTTTCAAAACTGCTCTATCAAAAGAAAGCTTCAACACTGTTAGTTGAGGGCGCACATCACAAATAAGATTCTGAGAATGCTTCTGTCTAGTTTTCAGGGGAAGATATTTCCTTTTTCACCATAGGCCTGAAAGCGCTCCAAATGTCCACATCCAGATACTACAAAAAGAGTGTTTCAAACCTGCTCTAAGAAAGGGAATGTTCAACTCTGTGACTTGAATGCAAACATCACAAAGAAATTTCTGTGAATGCTGCTGTCTGCTTTTTATATGTAATCCCGTTTCCAACGAAATCCTCAAAGCTAGACAAATATCCACTTCCAGATTCCACAAAAAGAGTGTTTCAAAACTGCTCTCTCAAAAGAAAGGTTCAACACTGTTAGCTGAGTAGATACATCCTGAAAAAGTTTCTGACATTGCTTCTATCTAGCTTTTATTGGAAGATATTTCCTTTTTCACCGTAGTCCTGAGAGCGCTCCAAATGTCCACTTCCAGATGCTACAAAAAGAGTGTTTCAAACCTGCTCTATGAAAGGGACTGTTCAACACTGTGACTTCAATTGAAACATCCCAATGAAGCTTCTCAGAATGCTTCTGTCTAGATTCTATATGAAGACAATCCCGTTTCCAACGAAATCCTCAAAGCTATCCAAATATCCTCTTGCAGATTTTACAAAAAGAGTGTTTCAAAACTGCTCTATCAAAAGAAAAGTTCCACACTGTTAGTTGAGGGCGCACATCACAAATAAGTTTGCTGAGAATGCTGCTGTCTGCTTTTTATGTGTAATCCCGTTTCAAACGAAATTCTCAAAGCTAGACAAATATCCACTTGCAGATTCCACAAAAAGAGTGTTTCAAAACTGCTCTATCAAAAGAAAGCTTCAACATTGTTAGTTGAGGGCGCACATCACAAATAAGTTTCTGAGAATGCTTTTGTCTAGTTTTCAGGGGAAGATATTTCCTTTTAAACCATAGGCCTGAAAGCGCTCCAAATGTCCACATCCAGATACTACAAAAAGAGTGTTTCAAACCTGCTCTATGAAAGGGACTGTTCAACACTGTGACTTCAATTGAAACATCCCAATGAAGCTTCTGAGAATGCTTCTGTCTAGATTTTATATGAAGACAATCCCGTTTCCAACGAAATCCTCAAAGCTATCCAAATATCCTCTTGCAGATTTTACAAAAAGAGTGTTTCAAAACTGCTCTATCAAAAGAAAGCTTCAACACTGTTAGTTGAGGGCGCACATCACAAATAAGATTCTGAGAATGCTTCTGTCTAGTTTTCAGGAGAAGATATTTCCTTTTTCACCATAGGCCTGAAAGCGCTCCAAATGTCCACATCCAGATACTACAAAAAGAGTGTTTCAAACCTGCTCTCTGAAAGGGAATGTTCAACTCTGTGACTTGAATGCAAACATCACAAAGAAGTTTCTGGGAATGCTGCTGTCTGCTTTTTATATGTAATTCCGTTTCCAACGAAATCCTCAAAGCTAGACAAATACCCACTTGCAGATTCCACAAAAAGAGTGTTTCAAAACTGGTCTCTCAAAAGAAAGGTTCAACTCTGTTAGCTGAGTAGACACATCATGAAAAAGTTTCTGACATTGCTTCTATCTAGCTTTTATTGGAAGATATTTCCTTTTTCACCGCAGTCCTGAGAGCGCTCCAAATGTCCACTTCCAGATACTACAAAAAGAGTGTTTCAAACCTGCTCTATGAAAGGGACTGTTCAACACTGTGACTTCAATTGAAACATCCCAATGAAGCTTCTGAGAATGCTTCTGTCTAGAGTTTATATGAAGACAATCCCGTTTCCAACGAAATCCTCAAAGCTATCCAAATATCCTCTTGCAGATATTACAAAAAGAGTGTTTCAAAACTGCTCTATCAAAAGAAAGGTTCAACACTGTTAGTTGAGGGCGCACATCACAAATAAGTTTACTGAGAATGCTGCTGTCTGCTTTTTATATGTAATCCCGTTTCCAACGAAATCCTCAAAGCTAGACAAATATCCACTTGCAGATTCCACAAAAAGAGTGTTTCAAAACTGCTCTATCAAAAGAAAGCTTCAACACTGTTAGTTGAGGGCGCACATCACAAATAAGTTTCTGAGAATGCTTCTGTCTAGTTTTCAGGGGAAGATATTTCCTTTTAAACCATAGGCCTGAAAGCGCTCCAAATGTCCACATCCAGATACTACAAAAAGAGTGTTTCAAACCTGCTCTATGAAAGGGACTGTTCAACACTGTGACTTCAATTGAAACATTCCAATGAAGCTTCTGAGAATGCTTCTGTCTAGAGTTTATATGAAGACAATCCCGTTTCCAACGAAATCCTCAAAGCTATCCAAATATCCTCTTGCAGATTTTACGAAAAGAGTGTTTCAAAACTGCTCTATCAAAAGAAAGCTTCAACACTGTTAGTTGAGGGCGCACATCACCAATAAGATTCTGAGAATGCTTTCTGTCTAGTTTTCAGGAGAAGATATTTCCTTTTTCACCACAGGCCTGAAAGCGCTCCAAATGTCCACATCCAGATACTACAAAAAGAGTGTTTCAAACCTGCTCTATGAAAGGCAATGTTCAACTATGTGACTTGAATGCAAACATCACAAAGAAGTTACTGGGAATGCTGCTGTCTGCTTTTTATATGTAATCCCGTTTCCAACGAAATCCTCAAAGCTAGACAAATATCCACTTGCAGATTCCACAAAAAGAGTGTTTCAAAACTGCTCTCTCAAAGGAAAGGTTCAACTCTGTTAGCTGAGTAGATACATCATGAAAAAGTTTCTGTCATTGCTTCTATCTAGCTTTTATTGGAAGATATTTCCTTTTTCACCATAGTCCTGAGAGCGCTACAAATGTCCACTTCCAGATACTACAAAAAGAGTGTTTCAAACCTGCTCTATGAAAGGGAATATTCAACACTGTGACTTTAATTGAAACATCCCAATGAAGCTTCTGAGAATGCTTCTGTCTAGATTCTATATGAAGACAATCCCGTTTCCAACGAAATCCTCAAAGCTATCCAAATATCCTCTTGCAGATTTTACAAAAAGAGTGTTTCAAAACTGCTCTCTCAAAAGAAAGGTTCAATTCTTTTAGCTGAGTAGATACATGATGAAAAAGTTTCTGACATTGCTTCTTTCTAGCTTTTATTGGAAGATATTTCCTTTTTCACCGTAGTCCTGAGAACGCTCCAAATGTCCACTTCCAGATGCTAAAAAAAGAGTGTTTCAAACCTGCTCTATGAAAGGGACTGTTCAACACTGTGACTTCAATTGAAACATCCCAATGAAGCTTCTGAGAATGCTACTGTCTAGGGTTAATATGAAGACAATCCCGTTTCCAACGAAATCCTCAAAGCTATCCAAATATCCTCTTGCAGATTTTACAAAAAGAGTGTTTCAAAACTGCTCTATCAAAACAAAGCTTCAACACTGTTAGTTGAGGGCGCACATCACAAATAAGTTTCTGAGAATACTTCTGTCTAGAGTTTATATGAAGACAATCCCGTTTCCAATGAAATCCTCAAAGCTATCGAAATATCCTCTTGCAGATTTTACAAAAAGAGTGTTTCAAAACTGCTCTATCAAAAGAAAGCTTCAACACTGTTAGTTGAGGGCGCACATCACAAATAAGATTCTGAGAATGCTTCTGTCTAGTTTTCAGGGGAAGATATTTCCTTTTTCACCATAGGCCTGAAAGCGCTCCAAATGTCCACATCCAGATACTACAAAAAGAGTGTTTCAAACCTGCTCTATGAAAGGGAATGTTCAACTCTGTGACTTGAATGCAAACATCACAAAGAAGTTACTGGGAATGCTGCTGTCTGCTTTTTATATGTAATCCCGTTTCCAACGAAATACTCAAAGCTAGACAAATATCCACTTGCAGATTCCACAAAAAGAGTGTTTCAAAACTGCTCTCTCAAAAGAAAGGTTCAACTCTGTTAGCTGAGTAGATACATCATGAAAAAGTTTCTGACATTGCTTCTATCTAGCTTTTATTGGAAGATATTTCCTTTATCACCGGAGTCCTGAGAGCGCTCCAAATGTCCACTTCCAGATACTACAAAAAGAGTGTTTCAAACCTGCTCTATGAAAGGGACTGTTCAACACTGTGACTTCAATTGAAACATCCCAATGAAGCTTCTGAGAATGCTTCTGTCTAGATTCTATATGAAGACAATCCCGTTTCCAACGAAATCCTCAAAGCTATCCAAATATCCTCTTGCAGATTTTACAAAAAGAGTGTTTCAAAACTGCTCTATCAAAAGAAAAGTTCCACACTGTTAGTTGAGGGCGCACATCACAAATAAGTTTGCTGAGAATGCTGCTGTCTGCTTTTTATATGTAATCCCGTTTCCAACGAAATCCTCAAAGCTAGACAAATATCCACTTGCAGATTCCACAAAAAGAGTGTTTCAAAACTGCTCTATCAAAAGAAAGCTTCAACACTGTTAGTTGAGGGCGCACATCACAAATAAGTTTCTGAGAATGCTTCTGTCTAGTTTTCAGGGGAAGATATTTCCTTTTTCACCATAGGGCTGAAAGCGCTCCAAATGTCCACATCCAGATACTACAAAAAGAGTGTTTCAAACCTGCTCTATGAAAGGGACTGTTCAACACTGTGACTTCAATTGAAACATCCCAATGACGCTTCTGAGAATGCTTCTGTCTAGAGTTTATATGAAGACAATCCCGTTTCCAACGAAATCCTCAAAGCTATCCAAATATCCTCTTGCAGATTTTACAAAAAGAGTGTTTCAAAACTGCTCTATCAAAAGAAAGCTTCAACACTGTTAGTTGAGGGCGCACATCACAAATAAGATTCTGAGAATGCTTCTGTCTAGTTTTCAGGGGAAGATATTTCCTTTTTCACCATAGGCCTGAAAGCGCTCCAAATGTCCACATCCAGATACTACAAAAAGAGTGTTTCAAACCTGCTCTATGAAAGGGAATGTTCAACTCTGTGACTTGAATGCAAACGTCACAAAGAAGTTTCTGGGAATGCTTCTGTCTAGAGTTTATATGAAGACAATCCCGTTTCCAACGAAATCCTCAAAGCTATCCAAATATCCTCTTGCAGATTTTACAAAAAGAGTGTTTCAAAACTGCTCTCTCAAAAGAAAGGTTCAACTCTGTTAGCTGAGTAGATACATCATGAAAAAGTTTCTGACATTGCTTCTATGTAGCTTTTATTGGAAGATATTTCCTTTTTCACCATAGTCCTGAGAGCGCTCCAAATGTCCACTTCCAGATACTACAAAAAGAGTGTTTCAAACCTGTTCTATGAAAGGAACTGTTCAACACTGTGACTTCAATTGAAACATCCCAATGAAGCTTCTGAGAATGCTTCTTTCTAGAGTTTATATGAAGACAATCCCGTTTCCAACGAAATCCTCAAAGCTATCCAAATATTCTCTTGCAGATATTACAAAAAGAGTGTTTCAAAACTGCTCTATCAAAATAAAGCTTCAACACTGTTAGTTGAGGGCGCACATCACAAATAAGTTTCTGAGAATGCTGCTGTCTGCTTTTTATATGTAATCCCGTTTCCAACGAAATCCTCAAAGCTAGACAAATATCCACTTGCAGATTCCACAAAAAGAGTGTTTCAAAACTGCTCTATCAAAAGAATGCTTCAACACTGTTAGTTGAGTGGGCACATCACAAATAAGTTTCTGAGAATGCTTCTGTCTAGTTTTCAGGGGAAGATATTTCCTTTTTCACCTTATGCCTGAAAGCGCTCCAAATGTCCACATCCAGATTCTACAAAAAGAGTGTTTCAAACCTGCTCTATGAAAGGGACTGTTCAACACTGTGACTTCAATTGAAACATCCCAATGAAGCTTCTGAGAATGCTTCTGTCTAGAGTTTATATGAAGACAATCCCGTTTCCAACGAAATCCTCAAAGCTATCCAAATATCCTCTTGCAGATTTTACAAAAAGAGTGTTTCAAAACTGCTCTATCAAAAGAAACCTTCAACACTGTTAGTTGAGGGCGCACATCACAAATAAGATTCTGAGAATGCTTTTATGTAGCTTTTATTGGAAGATATTTCCTTTTTCACCATAGGCCTGAAAGCGCTCCAAATGTCCACATCCAGATACTACAAAAAAAGTGTTTCAAACCTGCTCTATGAAAGGGAATGTTCAACTCTGTGACTTGAATGCAAACATCACAAAGAAGTTACTGGGAATGCTGCTGTCTGCTTTTTATATGTAATCCCGTTTCCAACGAAATCCTCAAAGCTAGACAAATATGCACTTGCAGATTCCACAAAAAGAGTGTTTCAAAACTGCTCTCTCAAAAGAAAGGTTCAACTCTGTTAGCTGAGTAGATACATCATGAAAAAGTTTCTGACATTGCTTCTATCTAGCTTTTATTGGAAGATATTTCCTTTTTCACCGTAGTCCTGAGAACGCTCCAAATGTCCACTTCCAGATGCTACAAAAAGAGTGTTTCAAACCTGCTCTATGAAAGTGACTGTTCAACACTGTGACTTCAATTGAAACATCCCAATGAAGCTTCTGAGAATGCTTCTTTCTAGAGTTTATATGAAGACAATCCCGTTTCCAACGAAATCCTCAAAGCTATCCAAATATTCTCTTGCAGATATTACAAAAAGAGTGTTTCAAAACTGCTCTATCAAAATAAAGCTTCAACACTGTTAGTTGAGGGCGCACATCACAAATAAGTTTCTGAGAATGCTGCTGTCTGCTTTTTATATATAATCCCGTTTCCAACGAAATCCTCAAAGATAGACAAATATCCACTTGCAGATTCCACAAAAAGAGTGTTTCAAAACTGCTCTATCAAAGGAATGCTTCAACACTGTTAGTTGAGGGCGCACATCACAAATAAGTTTCTGAGAATGCTTCTGTCTAGTTTTCAGGGGAAGATATTTCCTTTTTCACCATAGGCCTGAAAGCGCTCGAAATGTCCACATCCAGATACTACAAAAAGAGTGTTTCAAACCTGCTCTATGAAAGGGACTGTTCAACACTGTGACTTCAATTGAAACATCCCAATGAAGCTTCTGAGAATGCTTCTGTCTAGAGTTTATATGAAGACAATCCCGTTTCCAACGAAATCCTCAAAGCTTTCCAAATATCCTCTTGCAGATTTTACAAAAAGAGTGTTTCAAAACTGCTCTATCAAAAGAAAGCTTCAACACTGTTAGTTGAGGGCGCACATCACAAATAAGATTCTGAGAATGCTTCTGTCTAGTTTTCAGGGGAAGATATTTCCTTTTTCACCATAGGCCTGAAAGCGCGCCAAATGTCCACATCCAGATACTACAAAAAGAGTGTATCAAACCTGCTCTATGAAAGGGAATGTTCAACTCTGTGACTTGAATGCAAACATCACAAAGAAGTTTCTGGGAATGCTGCTGTCTGCTTTTTATATGTAATCCCGTTTCCAACGAAATCCTCAAAGCTAGACAAATATCCACTTGCAGATTCCACAAAAAGAGTGTTTCAAAACTGCTCTCTCAAAAGAATGGTTCAACTCTGTTAGCTGAGGAGATACATCATGAAAAAGTTTCTGACATTGCTTCTATCTAGCTTTTATTGGAAGATATTTCCTTTTTCACTGTAGTCCTGAGAACGCTCCAAATGTCCACTTCCATATACTACAAAAAGAGTGTTTCAAACCTGCTCTATGGAAGGGACTGTTCAACACTGTGACTTCAATTGAAACATCCCAATGAAGCTTCTGAGAATGCTGCTGTCTGCTTTGTATAATTAATCCCGTTTCCAACGAAATCCTCAAAGCTATCCAAATATCCTCTTGCAGATATTACAAAAAGAGTGTTTCAAAACTGCTCTATCAAAAGAAAGCTTCAACACTGTTAGTTGAGGGCGCACATCACAAATAAGTTTCTGAGAATGCTGCTGTCTGCTTTTTATATGTAATCCCGTTTCCAACGAAATCCTCAAAGCTAGACAAATATCCACTTGCAGATTCCACAAAAAGAGTGTTTCAAAACTGCTCTATCAAAAGAAAGCTTCAACACTGTTAGTTGAGGGCGCACATCACAAATAAGTTTCTGAGAATGCTTCTGTCTAGTTTTCAGGGGAAGATATTTCCTTTTTCACCATAGGCCTGAAAGCGCTCTAAATGTCCACATCCAGATACTACAAAAAGAGTGTTTCAAACCTGCTCTATGAAAGGGACTGTTCAACACTGTGACTTCAATTGAAACATCCCAATGAAGCTT
Source organism: Homo sapiens (assembly GCF_000001405.40). Lineage (NCBI taxonomy): Eukaryota > Metazoa > Chordata > Mammalia > Primates > Hominidae > Homo > Homo sapiens. The sequence goes on along the minus strand of NC_000002.12, from coordinate 93,686,356 downwards.
CTGAGAATGCTTCTGTCTAGAGTTTATATGAAGACAACCCCGTTTCCAACGAAATCCTCAAAGCTATCCAAATATCCTCTTGCAGATTTTACAAAAAGAGTGTTTCAAAACTGCTCTATCAAAAGAAAGCTTCAACACTGTTAGTTGAGGGCGCACATCACAAATAAGATTCTGAGAATGCTTCTGTCTAATTTTCAGGGGAAGATATTTCCTTTTTCACCATAGGCCTGAAAGCGCTCCAAATGTCCACATCCAGATACTACAAAAAGAGTGTTTCAAACATGCTCTATGAAAGGGAATGTTCAAGTCCGTGACTTGAATGCAAATATCACAAAGAAGTTTCTGGGAATGCTGCTGTCTGCTTTTTACATGTAATCCCGTTTCCAACGAAATCCTCAAAGCTAGACAAATATCCACTTGCAGATTCCACAAAAAGAGTGTTTCCAACCTGCTCTCTCAAAAGAAAGTTTCAACTCTGTTAGCTGAGTAGATACATCATGAAAAATTTTCTGACATTGCTTCTATCTAGCTTTTATTGGAAGATATTTCCTTTTTCACCGCAGTCCTGAGAGCGCTCCAAATGTCCACTTCCAGATACTACAAAAAGAGTGTTTCAAACCTGCTCTATGAAAGGGACTGTTCAACACTGTGACTTCAATTGAAACATCCCAATAAAGCTTCTGAGAATGCTTCTGTCTAGAGTTTATATGAAGACAATCCCGTTTCCAACGAAATCCTCAAAGCTATCCAAATATCCTCTTGCAGATATTACAAAAAGAGTGTTTCAAAACTGCTCTATCAAAAGAAAGGTTCAACACTGTTAGTTGAGGGCGCACATCACAAATAAGTTTACTGAGAATGCTGCTGTCTGCTTTTTATATGTAATCCCGTTTCCAACGAAATCCTCAAAGCTAGACAAATATCCACTTGCAGATTCCACAAAAAGAGTGTTTCAAAACTGCTCTATCAAAAGAAAGCTTCAACACTGTTAGTTGAGGGCGCACATCACAAATAAGTTTCTGAGAATGCTTCTGTCTAGTTTTCAGGGGAAGATATTTCCTTTTAAACCATAGGCCTGAAAGCGCTCCAAATGTCCACATCCAGATACTACAAAAAGAGTGTTTCAAACCTGCTCTATGAAAGGGACTGTTCAACACTGTGACTTCAATTGAAACATCCCAATGAAGCTTCTGAGAATGCTTCTGTCTAGAGTTTATATGAAGACAATCCCGTTTCCAACGAAATCCTCAAAGCTATCCAAATATCCTCTTGCAGATATTACAAAAAGAGTGTTTCAAAACTGCTCTATCAAAAGAAAGCTTCAACACTGTTAGTTGAGGGCGCACATCACAAATAAGTTTCTGAGAATGCTTTTGTCTAGTTTTCAGGGGAAGATATTTCCTTTTTCACCTTAGGCCTGAAAGCGCTGCAAATGTCCACATCCAGATACTACAAAAAGAGTGTTTCAAACCTGCTCTATGAAAGGGAATGTTCAACTCTGTGACTTGAATGCAAACATCACAAAGAAGTTTCTGGGAATGCTGCTGTCTGCTTTTTATATGTAATCCCGTTTCCAACGAAATCCTCAAAGCTAGACAAATATCCACTTGCAGATTCCACAAAAATAGTGTTTCAAAACTCCTCTCTCTAAAGAAAGTTTCAACTCTTTTAGCTGAGTAGATACATCCTGAAAAAGTTTCTGACATTGCTTCTATGTAGCTTTTATTGGAAGATATTTCCTTTTTCACCGCAGTCCTGAGAGCGCTCCAAATGTCCACTTCCAGATACTACAAAAAGAGTGTTTCAAACCTGCTCTATGAAAGGGACTGTTCAACACTGTGACTTCAATTGAAACATCCCAATGAAGCTTCTGAGAATGCTTCTGTCTAGAGTTTATATGAAGACAATCCCGTTTCCAAAGAAATCCTCAAAGCTATCCAAATATCCTCTTGCAGATTTTACAAAAAGAGTGTTTCAAAACTGCTCTATCAAAAGAAAGCTTCAACACTGTTAGTTGAGGGTGCACATCACAAATAAGATTCTGAGAATGCTTCTGTCTAGTTTTCAGGGGAAGATATTTCCTTTTTCACCATAGGCTTGAAAGCACTCCAAATGTCCACATCCAGATACTACAAAAAGAGTGTTTCAAACCTGCTCTATGAAAGGGAATGTTCAACTCTGTGACTTGAATGCAAACATCACAAAGAAGTTTCTGGGAATGCTGCTGTCTAGTTTTTATATGTAATCCCGTTTCCAACGAAATCCTCAAAGCTAGACAAATATCCACTTGCAGATTCCACAAAAAGAGTGTTTCAAAACTGCTCTCTCAAAAGAAAGGTTCAACTCTGTTAGCTGAGTAGATACATCATGAAAAAGTTTCTGACATTGCTTCTATCTAGCTTTTATTGGAAGATACTTCCTTTTTCACCGTAGTCCTGAGAGCGCTCCAAATGTCCACTTCCAGATACTACAAAAAGAGTGTTTCAAACCTGCTCTATGAAAGGGACTGTTCAACACTGTGACTTCAATTGAAACATCCCAATGAAGCTTCTGAGAATGCTTCTGTCTAGTGTTCAGGGGAAGATATTTCCTTTTTCACCATAGGCCTGAAAGCGCTCCAAATGTCCACATTCAGATACTACAAAAAGAGTGTTTCAAACCTGCTCTATGAAAGGGAATGTTCAACTCTGTGACTTGAGTGCAAACATCACAAAGAAGTTTCTGGGAATGCTGCTGTCTGCTTTTTATATGTAATCCCGTTTCCAACGAAATCCTCAAAGCTAGACAAATATCCACTTGCAGATTCCACAAAAAGAGTGTTTCAAAACTGCTCTATCAAAAGAATGCTTCAACACTGTTAGTTGAGGGCGCACATCACAAATAAGTTTCTGAGAATGCTTCTGTCTAGTTTTCAGGGGAAGATATTTCCTTTTTCACCATAGGCCTGAAAGCGCTCCAAATGTCCACATCCAGATACTACAAAAAGAGTGTTTCAAACCTGCTCTATAAAAGGGACTGTTCAACACTGTGACTTCAATTGAAACATCCCAATGAAGCATCTGAGAATGCTTCTGTCTAGAGTTTATATGAAGACAATCCCGTTTCCAACGAAATCCTCAAAGCTATCCAAATATCCTCTTGCAGATTTTACAAAAAGAGTGTTTCAAAACTGCTCTATCAAAAGAAAGCTTCAACACTGTTAGTTGAGGGCGCACATCACAAATAAGATTCTGAGAATGCTCTGTCTAGTTTTCAGGGGAAGATATTTCCTTTTTCACCATAGGCCTGAAAGCGCTCCAAATGTCCACAACCAGATACTTCAAAAAGAGTGTTTCAAACCTGCTCTATGAAAGGGAATGTTCAACTACTGTGACTTGAATGCAAACATCACAAAGAAGTTACTGGGAATGCTGGCTGTCTGCTTTTTATATGTAATCCCGTTTCCAACGAAATCCTCAAAGCTAGTCAAATATCCACTTGCAGATTCCACAAAAAGAGTGTTTCAAAACTGCTCTCTCAAAAGAAAGGTTCAACTCTGTTAGCTGAGTAGATACATCATGAAAAAGTTTCTGACATTGCTTCTATCTAGCTTTTATTGGAAGATAGTTCCTTTTTCACGGTATTCCTGAGAACTCTCCAAATGTCCACTTCCACATACTACAAAAAGAGTGTTTCAAACCTGCTCTATGAAAGGGACTGTTCAACACTGTGACTTCTGTTGAAACATCCCAATGAAGCTTCTGAGAATGCTTCTGTCTGGAGTTTATATGAAGACAATCCCGTTTCCAACGAAATCCTCAAAGCTATCCAAATATCCTCTTGCAGATATTACAAAAAGAGTGTTTCAAAACTGCTCTATCAAAAGAAAGCTTTAACACTGTTAGTTGAGGGCGCACATCACAAATAAGTTTCTGAGAATGCTGCTGTCTGCTTTTTATAATTAATCCCGTTTCCAACGAAATCCTCAAAGCTATCCAAATATCCTCTTGCAGATATTACAAAAAGAGTGTTTCAAAACTGCTCTATCAAAAGAAAGCTTCAACACTGTTAGTTGAGGGCGCACATCACAAATAAGTTTCTGAGAATGCTTCTGTCTAGTTTTCAGGGGAAGATATTTCCTTTTTCACCATAGGCCTGAAAGCGCTCCAAATGTCCACATCCAGATACTACAAAAAGAGTGTTTCAAACCTGCTCTATGAAAGGGACTGTTCAACACTGTGACTTCAATTGAAACATCCCAATGAAGCTTCTGAGAATGCTTCTGTCTAGAGTTTATATGAAGACAATCCCGTTTCCAAAGAAATCCTCAAAGCTATCCAAATATTCTCTAGCAGATTTTACAAAAAGAGTGTTTCAAAACTGCTCTATCAAAAGAAAGCTTCAACACTGTTAGTTGAGGGCGCACATCACAAATAAAATTCTGAGAATGCTTCTGTCTAGTTTTCAGGGGAAGATATTTCCTTTTTCACCATAGGCCTGAAAGCGCTCCAAATGTCCACATCCAGATACTACAAAAAGAGTGTTTCAAACCTGCTCTCTGAAAGGGAATGTTCAACTCTGTGACTTGAATGCAAACATCACAAAGAAGTTTCTGGGAATGCTGCTGTCTGCTTTTTATATGTAATCCCGTTTCCAACGAAATCCTCAAAGCTAGACAAATATCCACTTGCAGATTCCACAAAAAGAGTGTTTCAAAACTGCTCTCTCAAAGGAAGGTTCAACTCTGTTAGCTGAGTAGATACATCATGAAAAAGTTTCTGACATTGCTTCTATCTAGCTTTTATAGGAAGATATTTCCTTTTTCACTGTAGTCCTGAGAACGCTCCACAAGTCCACTTCCAGATACTACAAAAAGAGTGTTTCAAACCTGCTCTATGAAAGGGACTGTTCAACACTGTGACTTCAATTGAAACATCCCAATGAAGCTTCTGAGAATCCTGCTGTCTGCTTTGTATAATTAATCCCGTTTCCAACGAAATCCTCAAAGCTATCCAAATATCCTCTTGCAGATATTACAAAAAGAGTGTTTCAAAACTGCTCTATCAAAAGAAAGCTTCAACACTGTTAGTTGAGGGCGCACATCACAAATAAGTTTCTGAGAATGCTGCTGTCTGCTTTTCATATGTAATCCCGTTTCCAACGAAATCCTCAAAGCTAGACAAATATCCACTTGCAGATTCCACAAAAAGAGTGTTTCAAAACTGCTCTATCAAAAGAATGCTTCAACACTGTTAGTTGAGGGCGCACATCACAAATAAGTTTCTGAGAATGCTTCTGTCTAGTTTTCAGGGGAAGATATTTCCTTTTTCACCATAGGCCTGAAAGCGCTCCAAATGTCCACATCCAGATACTACAAAAAGAGTGTTTCAAACCTGCTCTATGAAAGGGACTGTTCAACACTGTGACTTCAATTGAAACATCCCAATGAAGCTTCTGAGAATGCTTCTGTCTAGAGTTTATATGAAGACAATCCCGTTTCCAACGAAATCCTCAAAGCTATCGAAATATCCTCTTACAGATTTTACAAAAAGAGTGTTTCAAAACTGCTCTATCAAAAGAAAGTTTCAACACTGTTAGTTGAGGGCGCACATCACAAATAAGATTACTGAGAATGCTTCTGTCTAGTTTTCAGGGGAAGATATTTCCTTTTTCACCATAGGCCTGAAAGCGCTCCAAATGTCCACATCGAGATACTACAAAAAGAGTGTTTCAAACCTGCTCTCTGAAAGGGAATGTTCAACTCTCTGACTTGAATGCAAACATCACAGAGAAGTTCCTGGGAATGCTGCTGTCTGCTTTTTATATGTAATCCCGTTTCCAACGAAATCCTGAAAGCTAGACAAATATCCACCTGCAGATTCCACAAAAAGCGTATTTCAAAACTGCTCTCTCAAAAAAAATGTTCAACTCTGTTAGCTGAGTAGATACTTCATGAAAAGTTTCTGACATTGCTTCTATCTAGCTTTTATTGGAAGATATTTCTTTTTTCACCGTAGTCCTGAGAGCGCTCCAAATGTCCACTTCCAGATACTACAAAATGAGTTTTTCAAACCTGCTCTATGAAAGGGACTGTTCAACACTGTGACTTCAATTGAAACATCCCAATGTAGCTTCTGAGAATGCTTCTGTCTAGAGTTTATATGAAGACAATCCCGTTTCCAACGAAATCCTCAAAGCTATCCAAATATCCTCTTGCAGATTTTACAAAAAGAGTGTTTCAAACAGCTCTGTCAAAAGAAAGCTTCAACACTGTTAGTTGAGGGTGCACATCACAAATAAGTTTCTGAGAATGCTGCTGTCTGCTTTTTATATGTAATCCCGTTTCCAACGAAATCCTCAAAGCTAGACAAATATCCACTTGCAGATTCCACAAAAAGAGTGTTTCAAAACTGCTCTATCAAAAGTAAGCTTCAACACTGTTAGTTGAGGGCGCACATCACAAATAAGATTCTGAGAATGCTTCTCTCTAGTTTTCAGGGGAAGATATTTCCTTTTTCACCATAGGCCTGAAAGCGCTCCAAATGTCCACATCCAGATACTACAAAAAGAGTGTTTCAAACCTGCTCTATGAAAGGGACTGTTCAACACTGTGACTTCAATTGAAACATCCCAATGAAGCTTCTGAGAATGCTTCTGTCTAGAGTTTATATGAAGACAATCCCGTTTCCAACGAAATCCTCAAAGCTATCCAAATATCCTCTTGCAGATTTTACAAAAAGAGTGTTTCAAAACTGCTCTATCAAAAGAAAGCTTCAACACTGTTAGTTGAGGGCGCACATCACAAATAAGTTTCTGAGAATGCTTCTATCTAGCTTTTATTGGAAGATATTTCCTTTTTCACCGTAGTCCTGAGAGCGCTCCAAATGTCCACTTCCAGATACTACAAAAAGAGTGTTTCAAACCTGCTCTATGAAAGGGAATGTTCAACTCTGTGACGTGAATGCAAACATCACAAAGAAGTTTCTGGGAATACTGCTGTCTGCTTTTTATATGTAATCCCGTTTCCAATGAAATCCTCAAAGCTAGACAAATATCCACTTGCAGATTCCACAAAAAGAGTGTTTCAAAACTGCTCTCTCAAAAGAAAGGTTCAACTCTGTTAGCTGAGTAGATACATCATGAAAAAGTTTCTGACATTGCTTCTATCTAGCTTTTATTGGAAGATATTTCCTTTATCACCGTATTCCTGAGATCTCTCCAAATGTCCACTTCCAGATACTACAAAAAGAGTGTTTCAAACCTGCTCTATGAAAGGGACTGTTCAACACTGTGACTTCAATTGAAACATCCCAATGAAGCTTCTGAGAATGCTTCTGTCTAGAGTTTATATGAAGACAATCCCGTTACCAATTAAATCCTCAAAGCTATCCAAATATCCTCTTGCAGATTTTACAAAAAGAGTGTTTCAAAACTGCTCTATCAAAAGAAAGCTTCAACACTGTTAGTTGAGGGCGCACATCACAAATAAGATTCTGAGAATGCTTCTGTCTAGTTTTCAGGGGAAGATATTTCCTTTTTCACCATAGGCCTGAAAGCGCTCCAAATGTCCACATCCAGATACTACAAAAAGAGTGTTTCAAACCTGCTCTCTGAAAGGGAATGTTCAACTCTGTGACTTGAATGCAAACATCACAAAGAAGTTTCTGGGAATGCTGCTGTCTGCTTTTTATATGTAATCCCGTTTCCAACGAAATCCTCAAAGCTAGACAAATATCCACTTGCAGATTCCACAAAAAGAGTGTTTCAAAACTGCTCTCTCAAAAGAAAGGTTCAACTCTGTTAGCTGTGTAGATACATCATGAAAAAGTTTCTGACATTGCTTCTATCTAGCTTTTATAGGAAGATATTTCCTTTATCACCGTATTCCTGAGACCTCTCCAAATGTCCACTTCCAGATACTACAAAAAGAGTGTTTCAAACCTGCTCTATGAAAGGGACTTTTCAACACTGTGAGTTCAATTGAAACATCCCAATGAAGCTTCTGAGAATGCTTCTGTCTAGAGTTTATATGAAGACAATCCCGTTTCCAACGAAATCCTCAAAGCTATCCAAATATCCTCTTGCAGATTTTACAAAAAGAGTGTTTCAAAACTGCTCTATCAAAAGAAAGCTTCAACACTGTTAGTTGAGGGCGCACATCACAAATAAGATTCTGAGAATCCTGCTGTCTGCTTTTTATAATTAATCCCGTTTCCAACGAAATCCTCAAAGCTATCCAAATGTCCTCTTGCAGATATTACAAAAAGAGTGTTTCAAAACTGCTCTATCAAAAGAAAGCTTCAACACTGTTAGTTGAGGGCGCACATCACAAATAAGTTTCTGAGAATGCTTCTGTCTAGTTTTCAGGGGAAGATATTTCCTTTTTTACCATAGGCCTGAAAGCGCTCCAAATGTCCACATCCAGATACTACAAAAAGAGTGTTTCAAACCTGCTCTATGAATGGGACTGTTCAACACTGTGACTTCAATTGAAACATCCCAATGAAGCATCTGAGAATGCTTCTGTCTAGAGTTTATATGAAGACAATCCCGTTTCCAACGAAATCCTCAAAGCTATCCAAATATCCTCTTGCAGATTTTACAAAAAGAGTGTTTCAAAACTGCTGTATCAAAAGAAAGGTTCAACACTGTTAGTTGAGGGCGCACATCACAAATAAGTTTCTGAGAATGCTTCTGTCTAGTTTGCAGGGGAAGATATTTCCTTTTTCACCATAGGCCTGAGAGCGCTCCAAATGTCCACATCCAGATACTACAAAAAGAGTGTTTCAAACCTGCTCTATGAAAGGGAATGTTCAACTCTGTGACTTGAATGCAAACATCACAAAGAAGTTTCTGGGAATGCTGCTGTCTGCTTTTTATATGTAATCCCGTTTCCAACGAAATCCTCAAAGCTAGACAAATATCCACTTGCAGATTCCACAAAAAGAGTGTTTCAAAACTGCTCTCTCAAAGGAAGGTTCAACTCTGTTAGCTGAGTAGACACATCATGAAAAAGATTCTGACATTGCTTCTATCTAGCTTTTATTGGAAGATATTTCCTTTTTCACCGTATTCCTGAGAACTCTCCAAATGTCCACTTCCAGATACTACAAAAAGAGTGTTTCAAACCTGCTCTATGAAAGGGACTGTTCAACACTGTGACTTCAATTGAAACATCCCAATGAAGCTTCTGAGAATGCTTCTGTCTAGAGTTTATATGAAGACAATCCCGTTTCCAACGAAATCCTCAAAGCTATCCAAATATCCTCTTGCAGATATTACAAAAAGAGTGTTTCAAAACTGCTCTATCAAAAGAAAGGTTCAACACTGTTAGTTGAGGGCGCACATCACAAATAAGTTTACTGAGAATGCTGCTGTCTGCTTTTTATATGTAATCCCGTTTCCAACGAAATCCTCAAAGCTAGACAAATATCCACTTGCAGATTCCACAAAAAGAGTGTTTCAAAACTGCTCTATCAAAAGAATGCTTCAACACTGTTAGTTGAGGGCGCACATCACAAATAAGTTTCTGAGAATGCTTCTGTCTAGTTTTCAGGGGAAGATATTTCCTTTTTCACCATAGGCCTGAAAGCGCTCGAAATGTCCACATCCAGATACTACAAAAAGAGTGTTTCAAACCTGCTCTATGAAAGGGACTGTTCAACACTGTGACTTCAATTGAAACATCCCAATGAAGCTTCTGAGAATGCTTCTGTCTAGAGTTTATATGAAGACAATCCCGTTTCCAACGAAATCCTCAAAGCTATCCAAATATCTTCTTGCAGATTTTACAAAAAGAGTGTTTCAAAACTGCTCTATCAAAAGAAAGGTTCAACACTGTTAGTTGAGGGCGCACATCACAAATAAGTTTCTGAGAATGCTTCTGTCTAGTTTTCAGGGGAAGATATTTCCTTTTTCACCATAGGCCTGAAAGCGCTCAAAATGTCCACATCCAGATACTTCAAAAAGAGTGTTTCAAACCTGCTCTATGAAAGGGAATGTTCAACTCTGTGACTTGAATGCAAACATCACAAAGAAGTTACTGGGAATGCTGCTGTCTGCTTTTTATATGTAATCCCGTTTCCAACGAAATCCTCAAAGCTAGACAAATATCCACTTGCAGATTCCACAAAAAGAGTGTTTCAAAACTGCTCTGTCAAAAGAAAGGTTCAACTCTGTTAGCTGAGTAGATACATCATGAAAAATTTTCTGACATTGCTTCTATCTAGCTTTTATTGGAAGATATTCCCTTTTTCACCGTAGTCCTGAGAACGCTCCAAATGTTCACTTCCAGATATTACAAAAAGAGTGTTTCAAACCTGCTCTACGAAAGGGACTGTTCAACACTGTGACTTCAATTGAAACATCCCAATGAAGCTTCTGAGAATGCTTCTGTCTAGAGTTTATATGAAGACAATCCCGTTTCCAACGAAATCCTCAAAGCTATCCAAATATCCTCTTGCAGATATTACAAAAAGAGTGTTTCAAAACTGCTCTATCAAAAGAAAGGTTCAACACTGTTAGTTGAGGGCGCACATCACAAATAAGTTTACTGAGAATGCTGCTGTCTGCTTTTTATATGTAATCCCGTTTCCAACGAAATCCTCAAAGCTATCCAAATATCCTCTTGCAGATATTACAAAAAGAGTGTTTCAAAACTGCTCTATCAAAAGAAAGGTTCAACACTGTTAGTTGAGGGCGCACATCACAAATAAGTTTCTGAGAATGCTTCTGTCTAGTTTTCAAGGGAAGATATTTCCTTTTAAACCATAGGCCTGAAAGCGCTCCAAATGTCCACATCCAGATACTACAAAAAGAGTGTTTCAAACCTGCTCTATGAAAGGGACTGTTCAACACTGTGACTTCAATTGAAACATCCCAATGACGCTTCTGAGAATGCTTCTGTCTAGAGTTTATATGAAGACAATCCCGTTTCCAACGAAATCCTCAAAGCTATCCAAATATCCTCTTGCAGATATTACAAAAAGAGTGTTTCAAAACTGCTCTATCAAAAGAAAGGTTCAACACTGTTAGTTGAGGGCGCACATCACAAATAAGATTCTGAGAATGCTTCTGTCTAGTTTTCAGGGGAAGATATTTCCTTTTTCACCATAGGCCTGAAAGCGCTCCAAATGTCCACATCCAGATACTACAAAAAGAGTGTTTCACACCTGCTCTATGAAAGGGAATGTTCAACTCTGTGACTTGAATGCAAACATCACAAAGAAGTTACTGGGAATGCTGCTGTCTGCTTTTTATATGTAATCCCGTTTCCAAAGAAATCCTCAAAGCTAGACAAATATCCACTTGCAGATTCCACAAAACGAGTGTTTCAAAACTGCTCTCTCAAAAGAAAGGTTCAACTGTTTTAGCTGAGTAGATACATCATGAAAAAGTTTCTCACATTGCTTCTATGTAGCTTTTATTGGAAGATATTTCCTTTTTCACCATAGTCCTGAGAGCGCTCCAAATGTCCACTTCCAGATACTACAAAAAGAGTGTTTCAAACCTGTTCTATGAAAGGAACTGTTCAACACTGTGACTTCAATTGAAACATCCCAATGAAGCTTCTGAGAATGCTGCTGTCTGCTTTGTATAATTAATCCCGTTTCCAACGAAATCCTCAAAGCTATCCAAATATCCTCTTGCAGATATTACAAAAAGAGTGTTTCAAAACTGCTCTATCAAAAGAAAGCTTCAACACTGTTAGTTGAGGGCGCACATCACAAATAAGTTTCTGAGAATGCTGCTGTCTGCTTTTTATATGTAATCCCGTTTCCAACGAAATCCTCAAAGCTAGACAAATATCCACTTGCAGGTTCCACAAAAAGAGTGTTTCAAAACTGCTCTATCAAAAGAATGCTTCAACACTGTTAGTTGAAGGCGCACATCAGAAATAAGTTTCTGAGAATGCTTCTGTCTAGTTTTCAGGGGAAGATATTTCCTTTTAAACCATAGGCCTGAAAGCGCTCCAAATGTCCACATCCAGATACTACAAAAAGAGTGTTTCAAACCTGCTCTATGAAAGGGACTGTTCAACACTGTGACTTCAATTGAAACATCCCAATGACGCTTCTGAGAATGCTTCTGTCTAGAGTTTATATGGAGACAATCCCGTTTCCAAGGAAATCCTCAAAGCTATCCAAATATCCTCTTGCAGATTTTACAAAAAGAGTGTTTCAAAACTGCTCTATCAAAAGAAAGCTTCAACACTGTTAGTTGAGGGCGCACATCACAAATAAGATTCTGAGAATGCTTCTGTCTAGTTTTCAGGGGAAGATATTTCCTTTTTCACCATAGGCCTGAAAGCGCTCCAAATGTCCACATCCAGATACTACAAAAAGAGTGTTTCAAACCTGCTCTATGAAAGGGAATGTTCAACTCTGTGACTTGAATGCAAACATCACAAAGAAGTTTCTGGGAATGCTGCTGTCTGCTTTTCATATGTAATCCGGTTTCCAACGAAATCCTCAAACCTAGACAAATATCCACTTGCAGATTCCACAAAAAGAGTGTTTCAAAACTTCTCTCTCAAAAGAAAGGTTAAATTCTGTTAGCTGAGTAGATACATCATGAAAAATTTTCTGACATTGCTTCTATCTAGCTTTTATTGGAAGATATTTCCTTTATCACCGTATTCCTGAGATCTCTCCAAATGTCCACTTCCAGATACTACAAAAAGAGTGTTTCAAACCTGCTCTATGAAAGGGACTGTTCAACACTGTGACTTCAATTGAAACATCCCAATGAAGCTTCTGAGAATGCTTCTGTCTAGTTTTCAGGAGAAGATATTTCCTTTTTCACCATAGGCCTGAAAGCGCTCCAAATGTCCACATCCAGATACTATAAAAAGAGTGTTTCAAACCTGCTCTATGAAAGGGAATGTTCAACTCTGGGACTTGAATGCAAACATCACAAAGAAGTTACTGGGAATGCTGCTGTCTGCTTTTTATATGTAATCCCGTTTCCAACGAAATCCTGAAAGCTAGACAAATATCCACTTGCAGATTCCACAAAAAGAGTGTTTCAAAACTGCTCTATCAAAAGAAAGCTTCAACACTGTTAGTTGAGGGCGCACATCACAAATAAGTTTCTGAGAATGCTTCTGTCTAGTTTTCAGGGGAAGATATTTCCTTTTTCACCATAGGCCTGAAAGCGCTCCAAATGTCCACATCCAGATACTACAAAAAGAGTGTTTCAAACCTGCTCTATGAAAGGGACTGTTCAACACTGTGACTTCAATTGAAACATCCCAATGAAGCTTCTGAGAATGCTTCTGTCTAGAGTTTATATGAAGACAATCCAGTTTCCAAAGAAATCCTCAAAGCTATCCAAATATCCTCTTGCAGATTTTACAAAAAGAGTGTTTCAAAACTGCTCTATCAAAAGAAAGCTTCAACACTGTTAGTTGAGGGCGCACATCACAAATAAAATTCTGAGAGTGCTTCTGTCTAGTTTTCAGGGGAAGATATTTCCTTTTTCACCATAAGCCTGAAAGCGCCCCAAATGTCCACATCCAGATACTACAAAAAGAGTGTTTCAAACCTGCTCTATGAAAGGGAAAGTTCAACTGTGTGACTTGAATGCAAACATCACAAAGAAGTTTCTGGGAATGCTGCTGTCTGCTTTTTATATGTAATCCCGTTTCCAACGAAATCCTCAAAACTAGACAAATATCCACTTGCAGATTCCACAAAAAGAGTGTTTCAAAACTGCTCTCTCAAAAGAAAGGTTCAACTCTGTTAGCTGAGTAGATACATCATGAAAAAGTTTCTGACATTGCTTCTATCTAGCTTTTATTGGAAGATACTTCCTTTTTCACCGTAGTCCTGAGAGCGCTCCAAATGTCCACTTCCAGATACTACAAAGAGTGTTTCAAACCTGCTCTATGAAAGGGACTGTTCAACACTGTGACTTCAATTGAAAAATCCCAATGAAGCTTCTGAGAATGCTGCTGTCTGCTTTGTATAATTAATCCCGTTTCCAACGAAATCCTCAAAGCTATCCAAATATCCTCTTGCAGATATTACAAAAAGAGTGTTTCAAAACTGCTCTATCAAAAGAAAGCTTCAACACTGTTAGTTGAGGGCGCACATCACAAATAAGTTTCTGAGAATGCTGCTGTCTGCTTTTTATATGTAATCCCGTTTCCAACGAAATCCTCAAAGCTAGACAAATATCCACTTGCAGATTCCACAAAAAGAGTGTTTCAAAACTGCTCTATCAAAAGAAAGCTTCAACACTGTTAGTTGAGGGCGCACATCACAAATAAGTTTCTGAGAATGCTTCTGTCTAGTTTTCAGGGGAAGATATTTCCTTTTTCACCATAGGCCTGAAAGCGCTCGAAATGTCCACATCCACATACTACAAAAAGAGTGTTTCAAACCTGCTCTATGAAAGGGACTGTTCAACACTGTGACTTCAATTGAAACATCCCAATGAAGCTTCTGAGAATGCTTCTGTCTAGAGTTTATATGAAGACAATCCCGTTTCCAACGAAATCCTCAAAGCTATCCAAATACCCTCTTGCAGATATTCCAAAAAGAGTGTTTCAAAACTGCTCTATCAAAAGAAAGCTTCAACACTGTTAGTTGAGGGCGCACATCACAAATAAGTTTCTGAGAATGCTTCTGTCTAGTTTTCAGGGGAAGATATTTCCTTTTTCACCATAGGCTTGAAAGCACTCCAAATGTCCACATCCAGATACTACAAAAAGAGTGTTTCAAACCTGCTCTATGAAAGGGAATGTTCAACTCTGTGACTTGAATGCAAACACCACAAAGAAGTTACTGGGAATGCTGCTGTCTGCTTTTTATATGTAATCCCGTTTCCAACGAAATCCTCAAAGCTAGACAAATATCCACTTGCAGATTCCACAAAAAGAGTGTTTCAAAACTGCTCTCTCAAAGGAAAGGTTCAACTCTGTTAGCTGAGTAGATACATCATGAAAAAGTTTCTGACATTGCTTCTATGTAGCTTTTATTGGAAGATATTTCCTTTTTCACCGTAGTCCTGAGAGCGCTCCAAATGTCCACTTCCAGATACTACAAAAAGAGTGTTTCAAACCTGTTCTATGAAAGGAACTGTTCAACACTGTGACTTCAATTGAAACATCCCAATGAAGCTTCTGAGAATGCTTCTGTCTAGAGTTTATATGAAGACAATCCCGTTTCCAACGAAATCCTCAAAGCTAGACAAATATCCACTTGCAGATTCCACAAAAAGAGTGTTTCAAAACTGCTCTCTCAAAGGAAGGTTCAACTCTGTTAGCTGAGTAGATACATCATGAAAAAGTTTCTGACATTGCTTCTATCTAGCTTTTATTGGAAGATACTTCCTTTTTCACCGTAGTCCTGAGAGCGCTCCAAATGTCCACTTCCAGATACTACAAAAAGAGTGTTTCAAACCTGCTCTATGAAAGGGACTGTTCAACACTGTGACTTCAATTGAAACATCCCAATGAAGCTTCTGAGAATGCTTCTGTCTAGAGTTTATATGAAGACAATCCCGTTTCCAACGAAATCCTCAAAGCTATCCAAATATCCTCTTGCAGATATTACAAAAAGAGTGTTTCAAAACTGCTCTATCAAAAGAAAGGTTCAACACTGTTAGTTGAGGGCGCACATCACAAATAAGTTTACTGAGAATGCTGCTGTCTGCTTTTTATATGTAATCCCGTTTCCAACGAAATCCTCAAAGCTAGACAAATATCCACTTGCAGATTCCACAAAAAGAGTGTTTCAAAACTGCTCTATCAAAAGAAAGCTTCAACACTGTTAGTTGAGGGCGCACATCACAAATAAGTTTCTGAGAATGCTTCTGTCTAGTTTTCAGGGAGAAGATATTTCCTTTTTCACCGTATTCCTGAGATCTCTCCAAATGTCCACTTCCAGATACTACAAAAAGAGTGTTTCAAACCTGCTCTATGAAAGGGACTGTTCAACACTGTGACTTCAATTGAAACATCCCAATGAAGCTTCTGAGAATGCTTCTGTCTAGAGTTTATATGAAGACAATCCCGTTTCCAACGAAATCCTCAAAGCTATCAAAATATCCTCTTGCAGATTTTACGAAAAGAGTGTTTCAAAACTGCTCTATCAAAAGAAAGCTTCAACACTGTTAGTTGAGGGCGCACATCACAAATAAGATTCTGAGAATGCTTCTGTCTAGTTTTCAGGGGAAGATATTTCCTTTTTCACCATAGGCCTGAAAGCGCTCCAAATGTCCACATCCAGATACTACAAAAAGAGTGTTTCAAACCTGCTCTATGAAAGGGAATGTTCAACTCTGTGACTTGAATGCAAACGTCACAAAGAAGTTTCTGGGAATGCTGCTGGCTGCTTTTTATATGTAATCCCGTTTCCAAAGAAATCCTCAAAGCTAGACAAATATCCACTTGCAGATTCCACAAAAAGAGTGTTTCAAAACTGCTCTCTCAAAGGAAAGGTTCAACTCTGTTAGCTGAGTAGATACATCATGAAAAAGTTTCTGACATTGCTTCTATCTAGCTTTTATTGGAAGATATTTCCTTTTTCACTGTAGTCCTGAGAGCGCTCCAAATGTCCACTTCCAGATACTACAAGAAGAGTGTTTCAAACCTGCTCTATGACAGGGAATGTTCAACACTGTGACTTCAATTGAAACATCCCAAAGAAATTTATGAGAATGCTTCTGTCTAGAGTTTATATGAAGACAATCCCGTTTCCAACGAAATCCTCAAAGCTATCCAAATATCCTCTTGCAGATTTTACAAAAAGAGTGTTTCAAAACTGCTCTATCAAAAGACAGGTTCAACACTGTTACTTGAGGGCGCACATCACAAATAAGTTTCTGAGAATGCTGCTGTCTGCTTTTTATATGTAATCCCGTTTCCAACGAAATCCTCAAAGCTAGAAAAATATCCAGATGCAGATTCCACAAAAAGAGTGTTTCAAAACTGCTCTATCAAAAGAAAGCTTCAACACTGTTAGTTGAGGGCGCACATCACAAATAAGTTTCTGAGAATGCTTCTGTCTAGTTTTCAGAGGAAGATATTTCCTTTTTCACCATAGGCCTGAAAGCGCTCCAAATGTCCACTTCCAGATACTACAAAAAGAGTGTTTCAAACCTGCTCTATGAAAGGGACTGTTCAACACTGTGACTTCAATTGAAACATCCCAATGAGGCTTCTGAGAATGCTTCTGTCTAGAGTTTATATGAAGACAATCCCGTTTCCAACGAAATCCTCAAAAGCTACCAATTATCCTCTTGCAGATTTTACGAAAAGAGTGTTTCAAAACTGCTCTATCAAAAGAAAGCTTCAACACTGTTAGCTGAGGGCGCACATCACAAATAAGATTCTGAGAATGCTTCTGTCTAGTTTTCAGGGGAAGATATTTCCTTTTTCACCATAGGCCTGAAAGCGCTCCAAATGTCCACATCCAGATACTACAAAAAGAGTTTTTCAAACCTGCTCTATGAAAGGGAATGTTCAACTCTGTGACTTGAATGCAAACATCACAAAGAAGTTACTGGGAATGCTGCTGTCTGCTTTTTATATGTAATCCCGTTTCCAACGAAATCCTCAAAGCTAGACAAATATCCACTTCCAGATTCCACAAAAAGAGTGTGTCAAAACTGCTCTCTCAAAAGAAAGGTTCAACTCTGTTAGCTGAGTAGATACATCATGAAAAAGTTTCTGACATTGCTTCTATGTAGCTTTTATTGGAAGATATTTCCTTTTTCACCGTAGTCCTGAGAGCGCTCCAAATGTCCACTTCCAGATACTACAAAAAGAGTGTTTCAAACCTGTTCTATGAAAGGAACTGTTCAACACTGTGACTTCAATTGAAACATCCCAATGAAGCTTCTGAGAATGCTTCTGTCTAGAGTTTATATGAAGACAATCCCGTTTCCAACGAAATCCTCAAAGCTAGACAAATATCCTCTTGCAGATTCCACAAAAAGAGTGTTTCAAAACTGCTCTCTCAAAAGAAGGTTCAACTCTGTTAGCTGAGTAGATACATCATGAAAAAGTTTCTGACATTGCTGCTGTCTGCTTTTTATATGTAATCCCGTTTCCAACGAAATCCTCAAAGCTAGACAAATATCCACTTGCAGATTCCACAAAAAGAGTGTTTCAAAACTGCTCTATCAAAAGAAAGCTTCAACACTGTTAGTTGAGGGCGCACATCACAAATAAGTTTCTGAGAATGCTTCTGTCTAGTTTTCAGGGGAAGATATTTCCTTTTTCACCTTAGGCCTGAAAGCGCTGCAAATGTCCACATCCAGATACTACAAAAACAGTGTTTCAAACCTGCTCTATGAAAGGGAATGTTCAACTCTGTGACTTGAATGCAAACATCACAAAGAAGTTTCTGGGAATGCTGCTGTCTGTTTTTATATGTAATCCCGTTTCCAACGAAATCCTCAAACCTAGACAAATATCCACTTGCAGATTCCACAAAAATAGTGTTTCAAAACTGCTCTCACAAAAGAAAGTTTCAACTCTTTTAGCTGAGTAGATACATCATGAAAAAGTTTCTGACATTGCTTCTATGTAGCTTTTATTGGAAGATATTTCCTTTTTCACCGTAGTCCTGAGAGCGCTCCAAATGTCCACTTCCAGATACTACAAAAAGAGTGTTTCAAACCTGCTCTATGAAAGGGACTGTTCAACACTGTGACTTCAATTGAAACATCCCAATGAAGCTTCTGAGAATGCTTCTGTCTAGAATTTATATGAAGACAATCCCGTTTCCAACGAAATCCTCAAAGCTATCCAAATATCCTCTTGCAGATTTTACAAAAAGAGTGTTTCAAAACTGCTCTATCAAAAGAAAGCTTCAACACTGTTAGTTGAGGGCGCACATCACAAATAAGATTCTGAGAATGCTGCTGTCTGCTTTTTATATGTAATCCCGTTTCCAACGAAATCCTCAAAGCTAGACAAATATACACTTGCAGATTCCACAAAAAGAGTGTTTCAAAACTGCTGTATCAAAAGAAAGCTTCAACACTGTTAGTTGAGGGCGCACATCACAAATAAGTTTCTGAGAATGCTTCTGTCTAGTTTTCAGGGGAAGATATTTCCTTTTAAACCATAGGCCTGAAAGCGCTCCAAATGTCCACATCCAGATACTACAAAAAGAGTGTTTGAAACCTGCTCTATGAAAGGGACTGTTCAACACTGTGACTTCAATTGAAACATCCCAATGAAGCTTCTGAGAATGCTTCTGTCTAGAGTTTATATGAAGACAATCCCATTTCCAACGAAATCCTCAAAGCTAATCAAATATCCTCTTGCAGATTTTACAAAAAGTGTGTTTCAAAACTGCTCTATCAAAAGAGAGCTTCAACACTGTTAGTTGAGGGCGCACATCACAAATAAGATTCTGAGAATGCTTCTGTCTAATTTTCAGTGGAAGATATTTCCTTTTTCACCATAGGCCTGAAAGCGCTCCAAATGTCCACATCCAGATACTACAAAAAGAGTGTTTCAAACCTGCTCTATGAAAGGGAATGTTCAACTCTGTGACTTGAATGCAAACATCACAAAGAAGTTTCTGGGAATGCTGCTGTCTGCTTTTTATATGTAATCCCGTTTCCAACGAAATCCTCAAAACTAGACAAATATCCACTTGCAGATTCCACAAAAAGAGTGTTTCAAAACTGCTCTCTCAAAAGAAAGGTTCAACTCTGTTAGCTGAGTAGATACATCATGAAAAAGTTTACTGACATTGCTTCTATGTAGCTTTTATTGGAAGATATTTCCTTTTGCTCCGTACTCCTGAGAACGCTCCAAATGTCCACTTCCAGATGCTACAAAAAGAGTGTTTCAAACCTGCTCTATGAAAGGGACTGTTCAACACTGTGACTTCAATTGAAACATCCCAATGAAGCTTCTGAGAATGCTTCTGTCTAGAGTTTATATGAAGACAATCCCGTTTCCAACGAAATCCTCAAAGCTATCCAAATATCCTCTTGCAGATATTACAAAAAGAGTGTTTCAAAACTGCTCTATCAAAAGAAAGGTTCAACACTGTTAGTTGAGGGCGCACATCACAAATAAGTTTACTGAGAATGCTGCTGTCTGCTTTTTATATGTAATCCCGTTTCCAACGAAATCCTCAAAGCTAGACAAATATCCACTTGCAGATTCCACAAAAAGAGTGTTTCTAAACTGCTCTATCAAAAGAAAGCTTCAACACTGTTAGTTGAGGGGGCACATCACAAATAAGTTTCTGAGAATGCTTCTGTCTAGTTTTCAGGGGAAGATATTTCCTTTTAAACCATAGGCCTGAAAGCGCTCCAAATGTCCACATCCAGATACTACAAAAAGAGTGTTTCAAACCTGCTCTATGAAAGGGACTGTTCAACACTGTGACTTCAATTGAAACATCCCAATGAAGCTTCTGAGAATGCTTCTGTCTAGAGTTTATATGAAGACAATCCCGTTTCCAACGAAATCCTCAAAGCTATCCAAATATCCTCTTGCAGATTTTACAAAAAGAGTGTTTCAAAACTGCTCTATCAAAAGAAAGCTTCAACACTGTTAGTTGAGGGCGCACATCACAAATAAGATTCTGAGAATGCTTCTGTCTAGTTTTCAGGGGAAGATATTTCCTTTTTCACCATAGGCCTGAAAGCGCTCCAAATGTCCACATCCAGATACTACAAAAAGAGTGTTTCAAACCTGCTCTATGAAAGGGAATGTTCAACTCTGTGACTTGAATGCAAACTTCACAAAGAAGTTTCTGGGAATGCTGCTGTCTGCTTTTTATATGTAATCCCATTTCCAACGAAATCCTCAAAGCTAGACAAATATCCACTTGCAGATTCCACAAAAAGAGTGTTTCAAAACTGCTCTCTCAAAGGAAGGTTCAACTCTGTTAGCTGAATAGATACATCATGAAAAAGTTTCTGACATTGCTTCTATCTAGCTTTTATTGGAAGATATTTCCTTTTTCACCGCAGTCCTGAGAGCGCTCCAAATGTCCACTTCCAGATACTACAAAAAGAGTGTTTCAAACCTGGTCTATGAAAGGGACTGTTCAACACTGTGACTTCAATTGAAACATCCCAATGAAGCTTCTGAGAATTCTTCTGTCTAGTGTTCAGGAGAAGATATTTCCTTTTTCACCATAGGCCTGAAAGCGCTCCAAATGTCCACATCCAGATACTATAAAAAGAGTGTTTCAAACCTGCTCTCTGAAAGGGAATGTTGAACTCTGTGACTTGAATGCAAACATCACAAACAAGATTCTGGGAATGCTGCTGTCTGCTTTTTATATGTAATCCCGTTTCCAACGAAATCCTCAAAGCTAGACAAATATACACTTGCAGATTCCACAAAAAGAGTGTTTCAAAACTGCTGTATAAAAAGAAAGCTTCAACACTGTTAGTTGAGGGCGCACATCACAAATAAGTTTCTGAGAATGCTTCTGTCTAGTTTTCAGGGGAAGATATTTCCTTTTTCACCATAGGCCTGAAAGCGCTCCAAATGTCCACATCCAGATACTACAAAAAGAGTGTTTCAAACCTGCTCTATGAAAGGGACTGTTCAACACTGTGACTTCAATTGAAACATCCCAATGAAGCTTCTGAGAATGCTTCTGTCTAGAGTTTATATGAAGACAATCCCGTTTCCAACGAAATCCTCAAAGCTATCCAAATATCCTCTTGCAGATTTTACGAAAAGAGTGTTTCAAAACTGCTCTATCAAAAGAAAGCTTCAACACTGTTAGTTGAGGGCGCACATCACAAATAAGATTCTGAGAATGCTTCTGTCTAGTTTTCAGGGGAAGATATTTCCTTTTTCACCATAGGCCTGAAAGCGCTCCAAATGTCCACATCCAGATACTACAAAAAGAGTGTTTCAAACCCGCTCTATGGAAGGGAATGTTCAAGTCTGTGACTTGAATGCAAATATCACAAAGAAGTTTCTGGGAATGCTGCTGTCTGCTTTTTATATGTAATCCCGTTTCCAACGAAATCCTCAAAGCTAGACAAATATCCACTTGCAGAATCCACAAAAAGAGTGTTTCAAAACTGCTCTCTCAAAAGAAAGTTTCAATTCTGTTAGCTGAGTAGATACATCATGAAAAATTTTCTGACATTGCTTCTATGTAGCTTTTATTGGAAGATATTTCCTTTTTCACCGTAGTCCTGAGAGCGCTCCAAATGTCCACTTCCAGATACTACAAAAAGAGTGTTTCAAACCTGTTCTATGAAAGGAACTGTTCAACACTGTGACTTCAATTGAAACATCCCAATGAAGCTTCTGAGAATGCTTCTGTCTAGAGTTTATATGAAGACAATCCCGTTTCCAACGAAATCCTCAAAGCTATCCAAATATCCTCTTGCAGATATTACAAAAAGAGTGTTTCAAAACTGCTCTATCAAAAGAAAGGTTCAACACTGTTAGTTGAGGGCGCACATCACAAATAAGTTTACTGAGAATGCTGCTGTCTGCTTTTTATATGTAATCCCGTTTCCAACGAAATCCTCAAAGCTAGACAAATATCCACTTGCAGATTCCACAAAAAGAGTGTTTCAAAACTGCTCTATCAAAAGAAAGCTTCAACACTGTTAGTTGAGGGCGCACATCACAAATAAGTTTCTGAGAATGCTTCTGTCTAGTTTTCAGGGGAAGATATTTCCTTTTAAACCATAGGCCTGAAAGCGCTCAAATGTCCACATCCAGATACTACAAAAAGAGTGTTTCAAACCTGCTCTATGTAAGGGACTGTTCAACATTGTGACTTCAATTGAAACATCCCCATGATGCTTCTGAGAATGCTTCTGTCTAGAGTTTATATGAAGACAATCCCGTTTCCAACGAAATCCTCAAAGCTATCCAAATATCCTCTTGCAGATATTACAAAAAGAGTGTTTCAAAACGGCTCTATCAAAAGAAAGGTTCAACACTGTTAGTTGAGGGCGCACATCACAAATAAGTTTCTGAGAATGCTTCTGTCTAGTTTTCAGGGGAAGATATTTCCTTTTTCACCATAGGCCTGAAAGCGCTCCAAATGTCCACATACAGATTCTACAAAAAGAGTGTTTCAAACCTGCTCTATGAAAGGGAATGTTCAACTCTGTGACTTGAATGCAAACATCACAAAGAAGTTTCTGGGAATGCTGCTGTCTGCTTTTTATATGTAATCCCGTTTCCAACGCAATCCTCAAAGCTAGACAAATATCCACTTGCAGATTCCACAAAAAAGAGTGTTTCAAAACTGCTCTCTCAAAAGAAAGGTTCAACCCTGTTAGCTGAGTAGATACATCATGAAAAATTTTCTGACATTGCTTCTATCTAGCTTTTATTGGAAGATATTTCCTTTATCACCGTATTCCTGAGATCTCTCCAAATGTCCACTTCCAGATACTAAAAAAAGAGTGTTTCAAACCTGCTCTATGAAAGGGACTGTTCAACACTGTGACTTCAATTGAAACATCCCAATGAAGCTTCTGAGAATGCTTCTGTCTAGATTCTATATGAAGACAATCCCGTTTCCAACGAAATCCTCAAAGCTATCCAAATATCCTCTTGCAGATTTTACAAAAAGAGTGTTTCAAAACTGCTCTATCAAAAGAAAAGTTCCACACTGTTAGTTGAGGGCGCACATCACAAATAAGTTTGCTGAGAATGCTGCTGTCTGCTTTTTATATGTAATCCCGTTTCCAACGAAATCCTCAAAGCTAGACAAATATCCACTTGCAGATTCCACAAAAAGAGTGTTTCAAAACTGCTCTATCAAAAGAAAGCTTCAACACTGTTAGTTGAGGGCGCACATCACAAATAAGTTTCTGAGAATGCTTCTGTCTAGTTTTCAGGAGAAGATATTTCCTTTTTCACCGTATTCCTGAGATCTCTCCAAATGTCCACTTCCAGATACTACAAAAAGAGTGTTTCAAACCTGCTCTATGAAAGGGACTGTTCAACACTGTGACTTCAATTGAAACATCCCAATGAAGCTTCTGAGAATGCTTCTGTCTAGAGTTTATATGAAGACAATCCCGTTTCCAACGAAATCCTCAAAGCTATCCAAATATCCTCTTGCAGATTTTACAAAAAGAGTGTTTCAAAACTGCTCTATCAAAAGAAAGCTTCAACACTGTTAGGTGAGGGCGCACATCACAAATAAGTTTCTGAGAATGCTTCTGTCTAGTTTTCAGGGGAAGATATTTCCTTTTTCACCATAGGCCTGAAAGTGCTCCAAATGTCCACATCCAGATACTACAAAAAGAGTGTTTCAAACCTGCTCTATGAAAGGGAATGTTCAACTTTGTGACTTGAATGCAAACATCACAAAGTAGTTACTGGGAATGCTGCTGTCTGCTTTTTATATGTAATCCCGTTTCCAACATAATCCTGAAAGCTAGACAAATATCCACCTGCAGATTCCACAAAAAGAGTGTTTGAAAACTGCTCTCTCAGAAAAAATGTTCAACTCTGTTAGCTGAGTAGATACATCATGAAAAAGTTTCTGACATTGCTTCTATCTAGCTTTATTTGGAAGATATTTCCTTTTTCACCGTAGTCCTGAGAACGCTCCAAATGTCCACTTCCAGATACTACAAAAAGAGTGTTTCAAACATGCTCTATGAAAGGGACTGTTCAACACTGTGACTTCAATTGAAACATCCCAATGAAGCTGATGAGAATGCTTATGTCTAGAGTTTATATGAAGACAATCCCGTTTCCAACGAAATCCTGAAAGCTATCCAAATATCCTCTTGCAGATATTACAAAAAGAGTGTTTCAAAACTGCTCTATCAAAAGAAAGCTTCAACACTGTTAGTTGAGGGCGCCCATCACAAATAAGTTTCGGAGAATGCTTAGCTGTCTGCTTTTTATAATTAATCCCGTTTCCAACGAAATCCTCAAAGCTATCCAAATATCCTCTTGCAGATATTACAAAAAGAGTGTTTCAAAACTGCTCTATCAAAAGAAAGCTTCAACACTGTTAGTTGAGGGCGCACATCACAAATAAGTTTCTGAGAATGCTTCTGTCTAGTTTTCAGGGGAAGATATTTCCTTTTAAACCATAGGCCTGAAAGCGCTCCAAATGTCCACATCCAGATACTACAAAAAGAGTGTTTCAAACCTGCTCTATGAAAGGGACTGTTCAACACTGTGACTTCAATTGAAACATCCCAATGAAGCTTCTGAGAATGCTTCTGTCTAGATTTTATATGAAGACAATCCCGTTTCCAACGAAATCCTCAAAGCTATCCAAATATCCTCTTGCAGATTTTACAAAAAGAGTGTTTCAAAACTGCTCTATCAAAAGAAAGGTTCAACACTGTTAGTTGAGGGCGCACATCACAAATAAGTTTCTGAGAATGCTTCTGTATAGTTTTCAGGGGAAGATATTTCCTTTTTCACCATAGGCCTGAAAGCGCTCCAAATGTCCACATCCAGATACTACAAAAAGAGTGTTTCAAACCTGCTCTATGAAAGGGAATGTTCAAGTCTGTGACTTGAATGCAAATTTCACAAAGAAGTTTACTGGGAATGCTGCTGTCTGCTTTTTATATGTAATCCCGTTTCAAACGCAATCCTCAAAGGTAGACAAATATCCACTTGCAGATTCCACAAAAAGAGGGTTTCAAAACTGCTCTCTCAAAAGAAAGGTTCAACTCTGTTAGCTGAGTAGAAACATCATGAAAAATTTTCTGACATTGCTTCTATGTAGCTTTTATTGGAAGATATTTCCTTTATCACCGTATTCCTGAGATCTCTCCAAAAGTCCACTTCCAGATACTACAAAAAGAGTGTTTCAAACCTGCTCTATGAAAGGGACTGTTCAACACTGTGACTTCAATTGAAACATCCCAATGAAGCTTCTGGGAATGCTTCTTTCTAGAGTTTATATGAAGACAATCCCGTTTCCAACGAAATCCTCAAAGCTATCCAAATATTCTCTTGCAGATATTACAAAAAGAGTGTTTCAAAACTGCTCTATCAAAATAAAGCTTCAACACTGTTAGTTGAGGGCGCACATCACAAATAAGTTTCTGAGAATGCTGCTGTCTGCTTTTTATATGTAATCCCGATAACAACGAAATCCTCAAAGCTAGACAAATATCCACTTGCAGATTCCACAAAAAGAGTGTTTCAAAACTGCTCTATCAAAAGAATGCTTCAACACTGTTAGTTGAGGGCGCACATCACAAATAAGTTTCTGAGAATGCTTCTGTCTAGTTTTCAGGGGAAGATATTTCCTTTTTCACCATAGGCCTGAAAGCGCTCCAAATGTCCACATCCAGATACTACAAAAAGAGTGTTTCAAACCTGCTCTATGAAAGGGACTGTTCAACACTGTGACTTCAATTGAAACATCCCAATGAAGCTTCTGAGAATGCTTCTGTCTAGAGTTTATATGAAGACAATCCCGTTTCCAACGAAATCCTCAAAGCTATCCAAATATCCTCTTGCAGATATTACAAAAAGAGTGTTTCAAAACTGCTCTATCAAAAGAAAGCTTCAACACTGTTAGTTGAGGGCGCACATCACAAATAAGTTTCTGAGAATGCTTCTGTCTAGTTTTCAGGGGAAGATATTTCCTTTTTCACCTTTGGCCTGAAAGCGCTGCAAATGTCCACATCCAGATACTACAAAAAGAGTGTTTCAAACCTGCTCTATGAAAGGGAATGTTCAACTCTGTGACTTGAATGCAAACAACACAAAGAAGTTTCTGGGAATGCTGCTGTCTGCTTTTTATATGTAATCCCGTTTCCAACGAAATCCTCAAAGCTACACAAATATCCACTTGCAGATTCCACAAAAAGAGTGTTTCAAAACTGCTCTCTCAAAGGAAAGGTTCAACTCTGTTAGCTGAGTAGATACATCATGAAAAAGTTTCTGACATTGCTTCTATCTAGCTTTTATTGGAAGATATTTCCTTTTTCACCGCAGTCCTGAGAGCGTTCCAAATGTCCACTTCCAGATACTACAAAAAGAGTGTTTCAAACCTGCTCTATGAAAGGGACTGTTCAACACTGTGACTTCAATTGAAACATCCCAATGAAGCTTCTGAGAATGCTTCTGTCTAGTGTTTATATGAAGACAATCCCGTTTCCAACGAAATCCTCAAAGCTATCAAAATATCCTCTTGCAGATTTTACAAAAAGAGAGTTTCAAAACTGCTCTATCAAAAGAAAGCTTCAACACTGTTAGTTGAGGGCGCACATCACAAATAAGATTCTGAGAATGCTTCTGTCTAGTTTTCAGGGGAAGATATTTCCTTTTTCACCATAGGCCTGAAAGCGCTCCAAATGTCCACATCCAGATACTACAAAAAGAGTGTTTCAAACCTGCTCTATGAAAGGGAATGTTCAACTCCGTGACTTGAATGCAAACATAACAAAGAAGATTCTGGGAATGCTGCTGTCTGCTTTTTATATGTAATCCCGTTTCCAACGAAATCCTCAAAGCTAGACAAATATCCACTTGCAGATTCCACAAAAAGAGTGTTTCAAAACTGCTCTCTCAAAAGAAAGGTTCAACCCTTTTAGCTGAGTAGATACATCATGAAAAAGTTTCTGACATTCCTTCTATCTAGCTTTTATTGGAAGATATTTCCTTTATCACCGTATTCCTGAGATCTCTCCAAATGTCCACTTCCAGATACTACAAAAAGAGTGTTTCAAACCTGCTCTATGAAAGGGACTGTTCAACACTGTGACTTCAATTGAAACATCCCAATGAAGCTTCTGAGAATGCTTCTTTCTAGAGTTTATATGAAGACAATCCCGTTTCCAACGAAATCCTCAAAGCTATCCAAATATTCTCTTGCAGATATTACAAAAAGAGTGTTTCAAAACTGCTCTATCAAAATAAAGCTTCAACACTGTTAGTTGAGGGCGCACATCACAAATAAGTTTCTGAGAATGCTGCTGTCTGCTTTTTATATGTAATCCCGTTTCCAACGAAATCCTCAAAGCTATCCAAATATCCTCTTGCAGATATTACAAAAAGAGTGTTTCAAAACTGCTCTATCAAAAGAAAGGTTCAACACTGTTAGTTGAGGGCGCACATCACAAATAAGTTTCTGAGAATGCTTCTGTCTAGTTTTCAGGGGAAGATATTTCCTTTTAAACCACAGGCCTGAAAGCGCTCCAAATGTCCACATCCAGATACTACAAAAAGAGTGTTTCAAACCTGCTCTATGAAAGGGAATGTTCTACACTGTGACTTCAATTGAAACATCCCAATGACGCTTCTGAGAATGCTTCTGTCTAGAGTTTATATGAAGACAATCCCGTTTCCAACGAAATCCTCAAAGCTAGACAAATATCCACTTGCAGATTCCACAAAAAGAGTGTTTCAAAACTGCTCTCTCAAAGGAAGGTTCAACTCTGTTAGCTGAGTAGATACATCATGAAAAAGTTTCTGACATTGCTTCTATGTAGCTTTTATTGGAAGATATTTCCTTTTTCACCATAGTCCTGAGAGCGCTCCAAATGTCCACTTCCAGATACTACAAAAAGAGTGTTTCAAACCTGTTCTATGAAAGGAAATGTTCAACACTGTGACTTCAATTGAAACATCCCAATGAAGCTTCTGAGAATGCTTATGTCTAGAGTTTATATGAAGACAATCCCGTTTCCAACGAAATCCTGAAAGCTATCCAAATATCCTCTTGCAGATATTACAAAAAGAGTGTTTCAAAACTGCTCTATCAAAAGAAAGCTTCAACACTGTTAGTTGAGGGCGCCCATCACAAATAAGTTTCGGAGAATGCTTAGCTGTCTGCTTTTTATATGTAATCCCGTTTCCAACGAAATCCTCAAAGCTAGACAAATATCCACTTGCAGATTCCACAAAAAGAGTGTTTCAAAACTGCTCTATCAAAAGAAAGCTTCAACACTGTTAGTTGAGGGCGCACATCACAAATAAGTTTCTGAGAATGCTTCTGTCTAGTTTTCAAGGGAAGATATTTCCTTTTAAACCATAGGCCTGAAAGCGCTCCAAATGTCCACATCCAGATACTACAAAAAGAGTGTTTCAAACCTGCTCTATGAAAGGGACTGTTCAACACTGTGACTTCAATTGAAACATCCCAATGACGCTTCTGAGAATGCTTCTGTCTAGAGTTTATATGAAGACAATCCCGTTTCCAACGAAATCCTCAAAGCTATCCAAATATCCTCTTGCAGATATTACAAAAAGAGTGTTTCAAAACTGCTCTATCAAAAGAAAGGT
The DNA here is from genome assembly GCF_000001405.40 of Homo sapiens. Taxonomy (NCBI): domain Eukaryota; kingdom Metazoa; phylum Chordata; class Mammalia; order Primates; family Hominidae; genus Homo; species Homo sapiens. Next base: position 93,657,183 of record NC_000002.12, on the reverse strand, counting down.
TCAACAGTGTTAGTTGAGGGCGCACATCACAAATAAGTTTCTGAGAATGCTTCTGTCTAGTTTTCAGGGGAAGATATTTCCTTTTTCACCATAGGCCTGAAAGCGCTCCAAATGTCCACATCCAGATACTTCAAAAAGAGTGTTTCAAACCTGCTCTATGAAAGGGAATGTTCAACTCTCTGACTTGAATGCAAACATCACAAAGAAGTTACTGGGAATGGTGCTGTCTGCTTTTTATATGTAATCCCGTTTCCAACGAAATCCTCAAAACTAGACAAATATCCACTTGCAGATTCCACAAAAAGAGTGTTTCAAAACTGCTCTCTCAAAAGAAAGGTTCAACTCTGTTAGCTGAGTAGATACATCATGAAAAAGTTTCTGACATTGCTTCTATCTAGCTTTTATTGGAAGATATTTCCTTTTTCACCGCAGTCCTGAGAGCGTTCCAAATGTCCACTTCCAGATACTACAAAAAGAGTGTTTCAAACCTGCTCTATGAAAGGGACTGTTCAACACTGTGACTTCAATTGAAACATCCCAATGAAGCTTCTGAGAATGCTGCTGTCTGCTTTGTATAATTAATCCCGTTTCCAACGAAATCCTCAAAGCTATCCAAATATCCTCTTGCAGATATTACAAAAAGAGTGTTTCAAAACTGCTCTATCAAAAGAAAGCTTCAACACTGTTAGTTGAGGGCGCACATCACAAATAAGTTTCTGAGAATGCTGCTGTCTGCTTTTTATATATAATCCCGTTTCCAACGAAATCCTCAAAGATAGACAAATATCCACTTGCAGATTCCACAAAAAGAGTGTTTCAAAACTGCTCTATCAAAGGAATGCTTCAACACTGTTAGTTGAGGGCGCACATCACAAATAAGTTTCTGAGAATGCTTCTGTCTAGTTTTCAGGGGAAGATATTTCCTTTTAAACCATAGGCCTGAAAGCGCTCCAAATGTCCACATCCAGATACTACAAAAAGAGTGTTTGAAACCTGCTTTATGAAAGGGACTGTTCAACACTGTGACTTCAATTGAAACATCCCAATGAAGCTTCTGAGAATGCTTCTGTCTAGAGTTTATATGAAGATAATCCCGTTTCCAACGAAATCCTCAAAGCTATCCAAATATCCTCTTGCAGATTTTACAAAAAGAGTGTTTCAAAACTGCTCTATCAAAAGAAAGCTTCAACACTGTTAGTTGAGGGCGCACATCACAAATAAGATTCTGAGAATTCTTCTGTCTAGTTTTCAGGGGAAGATATTTCCTTTTTCACCATAGGCCTGAAAGCGCTCCAAATGTCCACATCCAGATACTACAAAAAGAGTGTTTCAAACCTGCTCTATGAAAGGGAATGTTCAACTCTGTGACTTGAATGCAAACGTCACAAAGAAGTTTCTGGGAATGCTGCTGTCTGCTTTTTATATGTAATCCCGTTTCCAACGAAATCATCAAAGCTAGACAAATATCCACTTGCAGATTCCACAAAAAGAGTGTTTAAAAACTGCTCTCTCAAAAGAAAGGTTCAACTCTGTTAGCTGAGCAGATACATCATGAAAAAGTTTCTGACATTGCTTCTATCTAGCTTTTATTGGAAGATATTTCCTTTTTCACTGTAGTCCTGAGAGCGCTCCAAATGTCCACTTCCAGATACTACAAGAAGAGTGTTTCAAACCTGCTCTATGACAGGGAATGTTCAACACTGTGACTTCAATTAAAACATCCCAAAGAAATTTATGAGAATGCTGCTGTCTGCTTTGTATAATTAATCCCGTTTCCAACGAAATCCTCAAAGCTATCCAAATATCCTCTTGCAGATATTACAAAAAGAGTGTTTCAAAACTGCTCTATCAAAAGAAAGCTTCAACACTGTTAGTTGAGGGCGCACATCACAAATAAGTTTCTGAGAATGCTGCTGTCTGCTTTATATATGTAATCCCGTTTCCAACGAAATCCCCAAAGCTAGACAAACATCCACTTGCAGATTCCACAAAAAGAGTGTTTCAAAACTGCTCTATCAAAAGAAAGCTTCAACACTGTTAGTTGAGGGCGCACATCACAAATAAGTTTCTGAAAATGCTTCTGTCTAGTTTTCAGGGGAAGATATTTCCTTTTAAACCATAGGCCTGAAAGCGCTCCAAATGTCCACATCCAGATACTACAAAAAGTGTGTCTCAAACCTGCTCTATGAAAGGGACTGTTCAACACTGTGACTTCAATTGAAACATCCCAATGATGCTTCTGAGAATGCTTCTGTCTAGAGTTTATAAGAAGACAATCCCGTTTCCAACGAAATCCTCAAAGCTATCAAAATATCCTCTTGCAGATTTTACGAAAAGAGTGTTTCAAAACTGCTCTATCAAAAGAAAGCTTCAACACTGTTAGTTGAGGGCGCACATCACAAATAAGATTCTGAGAATGCTTCTGTCTAGTTTTCAGGGGAAGATATTTCCTTTTTCACCATAGGCCTGAAAGCGCTCCAAATGTCCACATCCAGATACTACAAAAAGAGTGTTTCAAACCTGCTCTATGAAAGGGAATGTTCAACTCTGTGACTTGAATGCAAACATCACAAAGAAGTTTCTGGGAATGCTGCTGTCTGCTTTTTATATGTAATCCCGTTTCCAACGAAATCCTGAAAGCTACACAAATATCCACCTGCAGATTCCACAAAAAGAGTGTTTCAAAACTGCTCTCTGAAAAAAAATGTTCAACTCTCGTAGCTGAGTAGATACATCATGAAAAAGTTTCTGACATTGCTTCTATGTAGCTTTTATTGGAAGATATTTCCTTTTTCACCTTAGTCCTGAGAGCGCTCCAAATGTCCACTTCCAGATACTACAAAAAGAGTGTTTCAAACCTGTTCAATGAAAGGAACTGTTCAACACTGTGACTTCAATTGAAACATCCCAATGAAGCTTCTGAGAATGCTGCTGTCTGCTTTGTATAATTAATCCCGTTTCCAACGAAATCCTCAAAGCTATCCAAATATCCTCTTGCAGATATTACAAAAAGAGTGTTTCAAAACTGCTCTATCAAAAGAAAGCTTCAACACTGTTAGTTGAGGGCGCACATCACAAATAAGTTTCTGAGAATGCTGCTGTCTGCTTTTTATATGTAATCCCGTTTCCAACGAAATCCTCAAAGCTAGACAAATATCCACTTGCAGATTCCACAAAAAGAGTGTTTCAAAACTGCTCTATCAAAAGAAAGCTTCAACACTGTTAGTTGAGGGCGCACATCACAAATAAGTTTCTGAGAATGCTTCTGTCTAGTTTTCAGGGGAAGATATTTCCTTTTTCACCATAGGCCTGAAAGCGCTCCAAATGTCCACATCCAGATACTACAAAAAGAGTGTTTCAAACCTGCTCTATGAAAGGGACTGTTCAACACTGTGACTTCAATTGAAACATCCCAATGAAGCTTCTGAGAATGCTTCTGTCTAGAGTTTATATGAAGACAATCCCGTTTCCAACGAAATCCTCAAAGCTATCCAAATATCCTCTTGCAGATATTACAAAAAGAGTGTTTCAAAACTGCTCTATCAAAAGAAAGCTTCAACACTGTTAGTTGAGGGCGCACATCACAAATAAGATTCTCAGAATGCTTCTGTCTAGTTTTCAGGGGAAGATATTTCCTTTTTCACCATAGGCCTGAAAGCGCTCCAAATGTCCACATCCAGATACTACAAAAAGAGTGTTTCAAACCTGCTCTATGAAAGGGAATGTTCAACTCTGTGACTTGAATGCAAACATCACAAAGAAGTTTCTGGGAATGCTGCTGTCTGCTTTTTATTTGTAATCCCGTTTCCAACGAAATCCTCAAATCTAGACAAATATCCACTTGCAGATTCCACAAAAAGAGTGTTTCAAAACGGCTCTCTCAAAAGAAAGGTTGAACTCTGTTAGCTGAGTAGATACATCATGAAAAATTCTCTGACATTGCTTCTATCTAGCTTTATTTGGAAGATATTTCCTTTTTCACCGTAGTCCTGAGAACGCTCCAAATGTCCACTTCCAGATACTACAAAAAGAGTGTTTCAAACATGCTCTATGAAAGGGACTGTTCAACACTGTGACTTCAATTGAAACATCCCAATGAAGCTTATCAGAATGCTGCTGTCTGCTTTGTATAATTAATCCCGTTTCCAACGAAATCCTCAAAGCTATCCAAATATCCTCTTGCAGATATTACAAAAAGAGTGTTTCAAAACTGCTCTATCAAAAGAAAGCTTCAACACTGTTAGTTGAGGGCGCACATCACAAATAAGTTTCTGAGAATGCTGCTGTCTGCTTTTTATATGTAATCCCGTTTCCAACGAAATCCTCAAAGCTAGACAAATATCCACTTGCAGATTCCACAAAAAGAGTGTTTCAAAACTGCTCTATCAAAAGAATGCTTCAACACTGTTAGTTGAGGGCGCACATCACAAATAAGTTTCTGAGAATGCTTCTGTCTAGTTTTCAGGGAGAAGATATTTCCTTTTTCACCGTATTCCTGAGATCTCTCCAAATGTCCACTTCCAGATACTACAAAAAGAGTGTTTCAAACCTGCTCTATGAAAGGGACTGTTCAACACTGTGACTTCAATTGAAACATCCCAATGAAGCTTCTGAGAATGCTTCTGTCTAGAGTTTATATGAAGACAATCCCGTTTCCAACGAAATCCTCAAAGCTATCCAAATATCCTCTTGCAGATTTTACAAAAAGAGTGTTTCAAAACTGCTCTATCAAAAGAAAGCTTCAACTCTGTTAGTTGAGGGCGCACATCACAAATAAGATTCTGAGAATGCTTCTGTCTAGTTTTCAGGGGAAGATATTTCCTTTTTCACCTTAGGCCTGAAAGCGCTGCAAATGTCCACATCCAGATACTACAAAAAGAGTGTTTCAAACCTGCTCTATGAAAGGGAATGTTCAACTCTGTGACTTGAATGCAAACAACACAAAGAAGTTTCTGGGAATGCTGCTGTCTGCTTTTTATATGTAATCCCGTTTCCAACGAAATCCTCAAAGCTAGACAAATATCCACTTGCAGATTCCACAAAAAGAGTGTTTCAAAACTGCTCTCTCAAAGGAAAGGTTCAACTCTGTTAGCTGAGTAGATACATCATGAAAAAGTTTCTGACATTGCTTCTATCTAGCTTTTATTGGAAGATATTTCCTTTATCACCGTATTCCTGAGATCTCTCCAAATGTCCACTTCCAGATACTACAAAAAGAGTGTTTCAAACCTGCTCTATGAAAGGGACTGTTCAACACTGTGACTTCAATTGAAACATCCCAATGAAGCTTCTGAGAATGCTGCTGTCTGCTTTGTATAATTAATCCCGTTTCCAACGAAATCCTCAAAGCTATCCAAATATCCTCTTGCAGATATTACAAAAAGAGTGTTTCAAAACTGCTCTATCAAAAGAAAGCTTCAACACTGTTAGTTGAGGGCGCACATCACAAATAAGTTTCTGAGAATGCTGCTGTCTGCTTTTTATAATTAATCCCGTTTCCAACGAAATCCTCAAAGCTATCCAAATATCCTCTTGCAGATATTACAAAAAGAGTGTTTCAAAACTGCTCTATCAAAAGAAAGCTTCAACACTGTTAGTTGAGGGCGCACATCACAAATAAGTTTCTGAGAATGCTTCTGTCTAGTTTTCAGGGGAAGATATTTCCTTTTAAACCGTAGGCCTGAAAGCGCTCCAAATGTCCACATCCAGATACTACAAAAAGAGTGTTTCAAACCTGCTCTATGAAAGGGACTGTTCAACACTGTGACTTCAATTGAAACATCCCAATGAAGCTTCTGAGAATGCTACTGTCTAGAGTTTATATGAAGACAATCCCATTTCCACCGAAATCCTCAAACAATCCAAATATCCTCTTGCAGATTTTACAAAAAGAGTGTTTCAAACTGCTCTGTCAAAAGAAAGCTTCAACACTGTTAGTTGAGGGTGCACATCACAAATAAGTTTCTGAGAATGCTTCTGTCTAGTTTTCAGGGGAAGATATTTCCTTTTTCACCATAGGCCTGAAAGTGCTCCAAATGTCCACATCCAGATACTACAAAAAGAGTGTTTCAAACCTGCTCTATGAAAGGGAATGTTCAACTCTGTGACTTGAATGCAAACATCACAAAGAAGTTTCTGGGAATACTGCTGTCTGCTTTTTATATGTAATCCCGTTTCCAACGAAATCCTCAAAGCTAGACAAATATCCACTTGCAGATTCCACAAAAAGAGTGTTTCAAAACTGCTCTCTCAAAGGAAAGGTTCAACTCTGTTAGCTGAGTAGATACATCATGAAAAAGTTTCTGACATTGCTTTCTATGTAGCTTTTATTGGAAGATATTTCCTTTTTCACCATAGTCCTGAGAGCGCTCCAAATGTCCACTTCCAGATACTACAAAAAGAGTGTTTCAAACCTGTTCTATGAAAGGAACTGTTCAACACTGTGACTTCAATTGAAACATCCCAAAGAAGCTTCTGAGAATGCTTATGTCTAGAGTTTATATGAAGACAATCCCGTTTCCAACGAAATCCTGAAAGCTATCCAAATATCCTCTTGCAGATATTACAAAAAGAGTGTTTCAAAACTGCTCTATCAAAAGAAAGCTTCAACACTGTTAGTTGAGGGCGCCCATCACAAATAAGTTTCGGAGAATGCTTAGCTGTCTGCTTTGTATAATTAATCCCGTTTCCAACGAAATCCTCAAAGCTATCCAAATATCCTCTTGCAGATATTACAAAAAGAGTGTTTCAAAACTGCTCTATCAAAAGAAAGCTTCAACACTGTTAGTTGAGGGCACACATCACAAATAAGTTTCTGAGAATGCTTCTGTCTAGTTTTCAGGGGAAGATATTTCCTTTTTCACCATAGGCCTGAAAGCGCTCCAAATGTCCACATCCAGATACTACAAAAAGAGTGTTTCAAACCTGCTCTATGAAAGGGACTGTTCAACACTGTGACTTCAATTGAAACATCCCAATGAAGCATCTGAGAATGCTTCTGTCTAGAGTTTATATGAAGACAATCCCGTTTCCAACGAAATCCTCAAAGCTATCCAAATATCCTCTTGCAGATTTTACAAAAAGAGTGTTTCAAAACTGCTCTATCAAAAGAAAGCTTCAACACTGTTAGTTGAGGGCGCACATCACAAATAAGATTCTGAGAATGCTTCTGTCTAGTTTTCAGGGGAAGATATTTCCGTTTTCACCATAGGCCTGAAAGCGCTCCAAATGTCCAAATCCAGATACTACAAAAAGAGTGTTTCAAACCTGCTCTATGAAAGGGAATGTTCAACTCTGTGACTTGAATGCAAATATCACAAAGAAGTTTCTGGGAATGCTGCTGTCTGCTTTTTATATGTAATCCCGTTTCCAACGAAATCCTCAATGCTAGACAAATATCCACTTGCAGATTCCACAAAAAGAGTGTTTCAAAACTGCTCTCTCAAAAGAAAGGTTCAACTCTGTTAGCTGAGTAGATACATCATGAAAAAGTTTCTGACATTGCTTCTATCTAGCTTTTATTGGAAGATATTTCCTTTTTCACCGTAGTCCTGAGAGCGCTCCAAATGTCCACTTCCAGATACTACAAAAAGAGTGTTTCAAACCTGCTCTATGAAAGGGAATGTTCAAGACTGTGACTTCAGTTGAAACATCCCAATGAAGCTTCTGAGAATGCTGCTGTCTGCTTTGTATAATTAATCCCGTTTCCAACGAAATCCTCAAAGCTATCCAAATATCCTCTTGCAGATATTACAAAAAGAGTGTTTCAAAACTGCTCTATCAAAAGAAAGCTTCAACACTGTTAGTTGAGGGCGCACATCACAAATAAGTTTCTGAGAATGCTGCTGTCTGCTTTGTATAATTAATCCCGTTTCCAACGAAATCCTCAAAGCTATCCAAATATCCTCTTGCAGATATTACAAAAAGAGTGTTTCAAAACTGCTCTATCAAAAGAAAGCTTCAACACTGTTAGTTGAGGGCACACATCACAAATAAGTTTCTGAGAATGCTTCTGTCTAGTTTTCAGGGGAAGATATTTCCTTTTTCACCATAGGCCTGAAAGCGCTCCAAATGTCCACATCCAGATACTACAAAAAGAGTGTTTCAAACCTGCTCTATGAAAGGGACTGTTCAACACTGTGACTTCAATTGAAACATCCCAATGAAGCTTCTGAGAATGCTTCTGTCTAGAGTTTATATGAAGACAATCCCGTTTCCAACGAAATCCTCAAAGCTATCCAAATATCCTCTTGCAGATTTTACAAAAAGAGTGTTTCAAAACTGCTCTATCAAAAGAAAGCTTCAACACTGTTAGTTGAGGGCGCACATCACAAATAAGATTCTGAGAAAGCTTCTGTCTAGATTTCAGGAGAAGATATTTCCTTTTTCACCATAGGCCTGAAAGCCCTCCAAATGTCCACATCCAGATACTATAAAAAGAGTGTTTCAAACCTGCTCTCTGAAAGGGAATGTTCAACTCTGTGACTTGAATGCAAACATCACAAAGAAGATTCTGGGAATGCTGCTGTCTGCTTTTTATATGTAATCCCGTTTCCAACGAAATCCTCAAATCTAGACAAATATCCACTTGCAGATTCCACAAAAAGAGTGTTTCAAAACTGCTCTCTCAAAAGAAAGGTTTAACTCTGTTAGCTGAGTAGATACGTCATGAAAAAGTTTCTGACATTGCTTCTATCTAGCTTTTATTGGAAGATAATTCCTTTTTCACCGCAGTCCTGAGAGCGCTCCAAATGTCCACTTCCAGATACTACCAAAAGAGTGTTTCAAACCTGCTCTATGAAAGGGACTGTTCAACACTGTGACTTCAGTTGAAACATCCCAATGAAGCTTTTGAGAATGCTTCTGTCTAGATTCTATATGAAGACAATCCCGTTTCCAACGAAATCCTCAAAGCTATCCAAATATCCTCTTGCAGATTTTACAAAAAGAGTGTTTCAAAACTGCTCTATCAAAAGAAAAGTTCCACACTGTTAGTTGAGGGCGCACATCACAAATAAGTTTGCTGAGAATGCTGCTGTCTGCTTTTTATATGTAATCCCGTTTCCAACGAAATCCTCAAAGCTAGACAAATATCCACTTGCAGATTCCACAAAAAGAGTGTTTCAAAACTGCTCTATCAAAAGAATGCTTCAACACTGTTAGTTGAGGGCGCACATCACAAATAAGTTTCTGAGAATGCTTCTGTCTAGTTTTCAGGGGAAGATATTTCCTTTTTCACCATAGGCCTGAAAGCGCTCCAAATGTCCACATCCGGATACTACAAAAAGAGTGTTTCAAACCTGCTCTATGAAAGGGACTGTTCAACACTGTGACTTCAATTGAAACATCCCAATGAAGCTTTCTGAGAATACTTCTGTCTAGAGTTTATATGAAGACAATCCCGTTTCCAACGAAATCCTCAAAGCTATCCAAATATCCTCTTGCAGATATTACAAAAAGAGTGTTTCAAAACTGCTCTATCAAAAGAAAGCTTCAACACTGTTAGTTGAGGGCGCACATCACAAATAAGTTTCTGAGAATGCTTCTGTCTAGTTTTCAGGGGAAGATATTTCCTTTTTCACCATAGGCCTGAAAGCGCTCCAAATGTCCACATCCAGATACTACAAAAAGAGTGTTTCAAACCTGCTCTATGAAAGGGAATGTTCAAGTCTGTGACTTGAATGCAAATTTCACAAAGAAATTTCTGGGAATGCTGCTGTCTGCTTTTTATATGTAATCCCGTTTCCAATGCGATCCTCAAAACTAGACAAATATCCACTTGCAGATTCCACAAAAATAGTGTTTCAAAACTGCTCTCCCAAAAGAAAGGTTCAACTCTTTTAGCTGAGTAGATACATCATGAAAAAGTTTCTGATATTGCTTCTATCTAGCTTTTCTTGGAAGATATTTCCTTTTTCACTGTAGTCCTGAGAACGCTCCAAATGTCCACTTCCAGATACTACAAAAAGAGTGTTTCAAATCTGCTCTATGAAAGGGACTGTTCAACACTGTGACTTCAATTGAAACATCCCAATGAAGCTTCTGAGAATGATTCTGTCTAGAGTTTATATGAAGACAATCCCGTTTCCAACGAAATCCTCAAAGCTATCCAAATATCCTCTTGCAGATATTACAAAAAGAGTGTTTCAAAACTGCTCTATCAAAAGAAAGGTTCAACACTGTTAGTTGAGGGCGCACATCACAAATAAGTTTACTGAGAATGCTGCTGTCTGCTTTTTATATGTAATCCCGTTTCCAACGAAATCCTCAAAGCTAGACAAATATCCACCTGCAGATTCCACAAAAAGAGTGTTTCAAAACTGCTCTATCAAAAGAAAGCTTCAACACTGTTAGTTGAGGGCGCACATCACAAATAAGTTTCTGAGAATGCTTCTGTCTAGTTTTCAGGGGAAGATATTTCCTTTTAAACCATAGGCCTGAAAGCGCTCCAAATGTCCACATCCAGATACTACAAAAAGAGTGTTTCAAACCTGCTCTATGAAAGGGACTGTTCAACACTGTGACTTCAATTGAAACATCCCAATGAAGCTTCTGAGAATGCTTCTGTCTAGATTTTATATGAAGACAATCCCGTTTCCAACGAAATCCTCAAAGCTATCCAAATATCCTCTTGCAGATTTTACAAAAAGAGTGTTTCAAAACTACTCTATCAAAGGAAAGGTTTAACACTGTTACTTGACGGCGCACATCACAAATAAGTTTCTGAGAATGCTTCTGTCTAGTTTTCAGGAGAAGATATTTCCTTTTTCACCATAGGCCTGAAAGCGCTCCAAATGTCCACATCCAGATACTATAAAAAGAGTGTTTCAAACCTGCTCTATGAAAGGGAATGTTCAACTCTGTGACTTGAATGCAAACATCACAAACAAGATTCTGGGAATGCTGCTGTCTGCTTTTTATATGTATTCCCGTTTCCAAAGAAATCCTCAAAGCTAGACAAATATCCACTTGCAGATTCCACAAAAAGAGTGTTTCAAAACTGCTCTCTCAAAAGAAAGGTTCAACTCTTTTAGCTGAGTAGATACATCATGAAAAAGTTTCTCACATTGCTTCTATCTAGCTTTTATTGGAAGATATTTCCTTTTTCACCGCAGTCCTGAGAGCGTTCCAAATGTCCACTTCCAGATACTACAAAAAGAGTGTTTCAAACCTGCTCTATGAAAGGGACTGTTCAACACTGTGACTTCAATTGAAACATCCCAATGAAGCTTCTGAGAATGCTTCTGTCTAGAGTTTATATGAAGACAATCCCGTTTCCAACGAAATCCTCAAAGCTATCCAAATATCCTCTTGCAGATATTACAAAAAGAGTGTTTCAAAACTGCTCTATCAAAAGAAAGGTTCAACACTGTTAGTTGAGGGCGCACATCACAAATAAGTTTACTGAGAATGCTGCTGTCTGCTTTTTATATGTAATCCCGTTTCCAACGAAATCCTCAAAGCTAGACAAATATCCACTTGCAGATTCCACAAAAAGAGTGTTTCAAAACTGCTCTATCAAAAGAAAGCTTCAACACTGTTAGTTGAGGGCGCACATCACAAATAAGTTTCTGAGAATGCTTCTGTCTAGTTTTCAGGGGAAGATATTTCCTTTTTTACCATAGGCCTGAAAGCGCTCCAAATGTCCACATCCAGATACTACAAAAAGAGTGTTTCAAACCTGCTCTATGAAAGGGACTGTTCAACACTGTGACTTCAATTGAAACATCCCAATGAAGCATCTGAGAATGCTTCTGTCTAGAGTTTCTATGAAGACAATCCCGTTTCCAACGAAATCCTCAAAGCTATGCAAATATCCTCTTGCAGATTTTACAAAAAGAGTGTTTCAAATCTGCTCTATCAAAAGAAAGCTTCAACACTGTTAGTTGAGGGCGCACATCACAAATAAGATTCTGAGAATGCTTCTGTCTAGTTTTCAGGGGAAGATATTTCCTTTTTCACCTTAGGCCTGAAAGCGCTGCAAATGTCCACATCCAGATACTACAAAAAGAGTGTTTCAAACCTGCTCTATGAAAGGGAATGTTCAACTCTGTGACTTGAATGCAAACATCACAAAGAAGTTTCTGGGAATGCTGCTGTCTGCTTTTTATATGTAATCCCGTTTCCAACGAAATCCTCAAAGCTAGACAAATATCCACTTGCAGATTCCACAAAAAGAGTGTTTCAAAACTGCTCTCTCAAAAGAAAGGTTCAAAGCTGTTAGCTGAGTAGATACATCACGAAAAAGTTTCTGACATTGCTTCTATCTAGCTTTTATTGGAAGATATTTCCTTTATCACCGTATTCCTGAGATCTCTCCAAATGTCCACTTCCAGATACTACAAAAAGAGTGTTTCAAACCTGCTCTATGAAAGGGACTGTTCAACACTGTGACTTCAATTGAAACATCCCAATGAAGCTTCTGAGAATGCTTCTGTCTAGAGTTTATGTGAAGACAATCCCGTTTCCAACGAAATCCTCAAAGCTATCCAAATATCCTCTTGCAGATATTACAAAAAGAGTGTTTCAAAACTGCTCTATCAAAAGAAAGGTTCAACAGTGTTAGTTGAGGGCGCACATCACAAATAAGTTTCTGAGAATGCTGCTGTTTGCTTTTTATATGTAATCCCGTTTCCAACGAAATCCTCAAAGCTAGACAAATATCCACTTGCAGATTCCACAAAAAGAGTGTTTCAAAACTGCTCTATCAAAAGAAAGTTTCAACACTGTTAGTTGAGGGCGCACATCACAAATAAGTTTCTGAGAATGCTTCTGTCTAGTTTTCAGGGGAAGATATTTCCTTTTAAACCATAGGCCTGAAAGCGCTCCAAATGTCCACATCCAGATACTACAAAAAGAGTGTTTCAAACCTGCTCTATGAAAGGGACTGTTCAACACTGTGACTTCAATTGAAACATCCCAATGAAGCTTCTGAGAATGCTTCTGTCTAGAGTTTATATGAAGACAATCCCGTTTCCAACGAAATCCTCAAAGCTATCCAAATATCCTCTTGCAGATATTACAAAAAGAGTGTTTCAAAACGGCTCTATCAAAAGAAAGCTTCAACACTGTTAGTTGAGGGCGCACATCACAAATAAGATTCTGAGAATGCTTCTGTCTAGTTTTCAGGGGAAGATATTTCCTTTTTCACAATAGGCCTGAAAGCGCTCCAAATGTCCACATCCAGATACTACAAAAAGAGTGTTTCAAACCTGCTCTATGAAAGGGAATGTTCAACTCTGTGACTTGAATGCAAACATCACAAAGAAGATTCTGGGAATGCTGCTGTCTGCTTTTTATATGTAATCCCGTTTCCAACGAAATCCTCAAAGCTAGACAAATATCCACTTGCAGATTCCACAAAAAGAGTGTTTCAAAACTGCTCTCTCAAAAGAAAGGTTCAACTCTGTTAGCTGAGTAGATACATCATGAAAAAGTTTCTGACATTGCTTCTATGTAGCTTTTATTGGAAGATATTTCCTTTTTCACCGTAGTCCTGAGAGCGCTCCAAATGTCCACTTCCAGATACTACAAAAAGAGTGTTTCAAACCTGCTCTATGAAAGGGACTGTTCAACACTGTGACTTCAATTGAAACATCCCAATGAAGCTTCTGAGAATGCTTCTGTCTAGAGTTTATATGAAGACAATCCCGTTTCCAACGAAATCCTCAAAGCTATCCAAATATCCTCTTGCAGATATTACAAAAAGAGTGTTTCAAAACTGCTCTATCAAAAGAAAGGTTCAACACTGTTAGTTGAGGGCGCACATCACAAATAAGTTTACTGAGAATGCTGCTGTCTGCTTTTTATATGTAATCCCGTTTCCAACGAAATCCTCAAAGCTAGACAAATATCCACTTGCAGATTCCACAAAAAGAGTGTTTCAAAACTGCTCTATCAAAAGAATGCTTCAACACTGTTAGTTGAAGGCGCACATCACAAATAAGTTTCTGAGAATGCTTCTGTCTAGTTTTCAGGGGAAGATATTTCCTTTTAAACCATAGGCCTGAAAGCGCTCCAAATGTCCACATCCAGATACTACAAAAAGAGTGTTTCAAACCTGCTCTATGAAAGGGACTGTTCAACACTGCAACTTCAATTGAAACATCCCAATGAAGCTTCTGAGAATGCTTCTGTCTAGAGTTTATATGAAGACAATCCCGTTTCCAACGAAATCCTCAAAGCTATCCAAATATCCTCTTGCAGATTTTACAAAAAGAGTGTTTCAAAACTGCTCTATCAAAAGAAAGCTTCAACACTGTTAGCTGAGGGCGCACATCACAAATAAGTTTCTGAGAATGCTTCTATCTAGCTTTTATTGGAAGATATTTCCTTTATCACCGTATTCCTGAGATCTCTCAAAATGTCCACTTCCAGATACTACAAAAAGAGTGTTTCAAACCTGCTCTCTGAAAGGGAATGTTCAACTCTGTGACTTGAATGCAAACATCACAAACAAGATTCTGGGAATGCTGCTGTCTGCTTTTTATATGTAATCCCGTTTCCAACGAAATCCTCAAAGCTAGGCAAATATCCCCTTGCAGATTCCACAAAAAGAGTGTTTCAAAACTGCTCTCTCAAAGGAAGGTTCAACTCTGTTAGCTGAGTAGATACATCATGAAAAAGTTTCTGACATTGCTTCTATCTAGCTTTTATTGGAAGATATTTCCTTTTTCACTCTAGTCCTGAGAACGCTCCAAATGTCCACTTCCAGATACTACAAAAAGAGTGTTTCAAACCTGCTCTATGAAAGGGACTGTTCAACACTGTGACTTCAATTGAAACATCCCAATGAAGCTTCTGAGAATGCTTCTGTCTAGATTCTATATGAAGACAATCCCGTTTCCAACGAAATCCTCAAAGCTATCCAAATATCCTCTTGCAGATTTTACAAAAGAGTGTTTCAAAACTGCTCTATCAAAAGAAAGGTTCAACACTTTTAGTTGAGGGCGCACATCACAAATAAGTTTCTGAGAATGCTTCTGTCTAGTTTACAGGGGAAGATATTTCCTTTTTCACCATAGGCCTGAAAGCGCTCCAAATGTCCACATCCAGATACTACAAAAAGAGTGTTTCAAACCTGCTCTATGAAAGGGAATGTTCAAGTCTGTGACTTGAATGCAAATTTCACAAAGAGCTTTCTGGGAATGCTGCTGTCTGCTTTTTATATGTAATCCCGTTTCCAACGAAATCCTCAAAGTTAGACAAATATCCACTTGCAGATTCCACAAAAAGAGTGTTTCAAAACTGCTCTCTCAAAGGAAAGGTTCACCTCTGTTAGCTGAGTAGATACATCATGAAAAAGTTTCTGACATTGCTTCTATCTAGCTTTTATTGGAAGATAATTCCCTTTTCACCGTAGTCCTGAGACTGCTCCAAATGTCCACTTCCAGATACTACAAAAAGAGTGTTTCAAACCTGCTCTATGAAAGGGACTGTTCAACACTGTGACTTCAATTGAAACATCCCAATGAAGCTTCTGAGAATGCTTCTGTCTAGATTTTATATGAAGACAATCCCGTTTCCAACGAAATCCTCAAAGCTATCCAAATATCCTCTTGCAGATTTTACAAAAAGAGTGTTTCAAAACTACTCTATCAATAGAAAGGTTTAACACTGTTAGTTGAGGGAGCACATCACAAATAAGTTTCTGAGAATGCTGCTGTCTGCTTTTTATATGTAATCCCGTTTCCAACGAAATCCTCAAAGCTAGACAAACATCCACTTGCAGATTCCACAAAAAGAGTGTTTCAAAACTGCTCTATCAAAAGAATGCTTCAACACTGTTAGTTGAGGGCGCACATCACAAATAAGTTTCTGAGAATGCTTCTGTCCAGTTTTCAGGGGAAGATATTTCCTTTTAAACCATAGGCCTGAAAGCACTCCAAATGTCCACATCCAGATACTACAAAAAGAGTGTTTCAAACCTGCTCTATGAAAGGGACTGTTCAACACTGTGACTTCAATTGAAACATCCCAATGAAGCTTCTGAGAATGCTTCTGTCTAGATTCTATATGAAGACAATCCCGTTTCCAACGAAATCCTCAAAGCTATCCAAATATCCTCTTGCAGATTTTACAAAAAGAGTGTTTCAAAACTGCTCTATCAAAAGAAAGCTTCAACACTGTTAATTGAGGGCGCACATCACAAATAAGATTCTGAGAATGCTTCTGTCTAGTTTTCAGGGGAAGATATTTCCTTTTTCACCATAGGCCTGAAAGCGCTCCAAATGTCCACATCCAGATACTACAAAAAGAGTGTTTCAAACCTGCTCTATGAAAGGGAATGTTAAACTCTGTGACTTGAATGCAAACATCACAAAGAAGTTTCTGGGAATGCAGCTGTCTGCTTTTTATATGTAATCCCGTTTCCAACGAAATCCTCAAAGCTAGAAAAATATCCACTTGCAGATTCCACAAAAAGAATGTTTCAAAACTGCTCTCTCAAAAGAAAGTTTCAACTCTGTTAGCTGAGTAGATACATCATGAAAGTGTTTCTGACATTGCTTCTATCTAGCTTTTATTGGAAGATATTTCCTTTTTCACCGTAGTCCTGAGATCTCTCCAAATGTCCACTTCCAGATACTACAAAAAGAGTGTTTCAAACCTGCTCTATGAAAGGGACTGTTCAACACTGTGACTTCAATTGAAACATCCCAATGAAGCTTCTGAGAATGCTTCTGTCTAGAGTTTATATGAAGACAATCCCGTTTCCAACGAAATCCTCAAAGCTATCCAAATATCCTCTTGCAGATATTACAAAAAGAGTGTTTCAAAACTGCTCTATCAAAAGAAAGGTTCAACACTGTTAGTTGAGGGCGCACATCACAAATAAGTTTACTGAGAATGCTGCTGTCTGCTTTTTATATGTAATCCCGTTTCCAACGAAATCCTCAAAGCTAGACAAATATCCACTTGCAGATTCCACAAAAAGAGTGTTTCAAAACTGCTCTATCAAAAGAATGCTTCAACACTGTTAGTTGAGGGCGCACATCACAAATAAGTTTCTGAGAATGCTTCTGTCTAGTTTTCAGGGGAAGATATTTCCTTTTTCACCATATGCCTGAAAGCGCTCCAAATGTCCACATCCAGATACTACAAAAAGAGTGTTTCAAACCTGCTCTATGAAAGGGACTGTTCAACACTGTGACTTCAATTGAAACATCCCAATGAAGCTTCTGAGAATGCTTCTGTCTAGAGTTTATATGAAGACAATCCAGTTTCCAAAGAAATCCTCAAAGCTATCCAAATATCCTCTTGCAGATTTTACAAAAAGAGTGTTTCAAAACTGCTCTATCAAAAGAAAGCTTCAACACTGTTAGTTGAGGGCGCACATCACAAATAAGTTTCTGAGAATGCTTCTGTCTAGTTTTCAGGGGAAGATATTTCCTTTTTCACCATAGGCCTGAAAGCGCTCCAAATGTCCACATCCAGATACTACAAAAAGAGTGTTTCAAACCTGCTCTATGAAAGGGAATGTTCAAGTCTGTGACTTGAATGCAAATATCACAAAGAAGTTTCTGGGAATGCTGCTGTCTGCTTTTTATATGTAATCCCGTTTCCAACGAAGTCCTCAAAGCTAGACAAATATCCACTTGCAGATTCCACAAAAAGAGTGTTTCAAAACTGCTCTCTCAAAAGAAAGGTTCAACTCTGTTAGCTGAGTAGATACATCATGAAAAAGTTTCTGACATTGCTTCTATCTAGCTTTTATTGGAAGATATTTCCTTTATCACCGTATTCCTGAGATCTCTCCAAATGTCCACTTCCAGATACTACAAAAAGAGTGTTTCAAACCTGCTCTATGAAAGGGACTGTTCAACACTGTGACTTCAATTGAAACATCCCAATGAAGCTTGTGAGAATGCTTCTGTCTAGAGTTTATATGAAGACAATCCCGTTTCCAACGAAATCCTCAAAGCTATCCAAATATCCTCTTGCAGATTTTACAAAAAGAGTGTTTCAAAACTGCTCTATCAAAAGAAAGCTTCAACACTGTTAGTTGAGGGCGCACATCACAAATAAGATTCTGAGAATGCTTCTGTCTAGTTTTCAGGGGAAGATATTTCCTTTTTCACCATAGGCCTGAAAGCGCTCCAAATGTCCACATCCAGATACTACAAAAAGAGTGTTTCAAACCTGCTCTATGAAAGGGAATGTTCAACTCTGTGACTTGAATGCAAACACCACGAAGAAGTTACTGG
The DNA here is from genome assembly GCF_000001405.40 of Homo sapiens. Lineage (NCBI taxonomy): Eukaryota > Metazoa > Chordata > Mammalia > Primates > Hominidae > Homo > Homo sapiens. Next base: position 93,638,980 of record NC_000002.12, on the reverse strand, counting down.
GAATGCTGCTGTCTGCTTTTCATATGTAATCCCGTTTCCAACGAAATCCTCAAAGCTAGACAAATATCCATTTGCAGATTCCACAAAAAGAGTGTTTCAAAACTGCTCTCTCAAAAGAAAGGTTCAACTCTGTTACCTGAGTAGATACATCATGAAAAAGTTTCTGACATTGCTTCTATCTACCTTTTATTGGAAGATATTTCCTTTTTCACTGCAGTCCTGAGAGCGCTCCAAAGGTCCACTTCCAGATACTACAAAAAGAGTGTTTCAAACCTGCTCTATGAAAGGGACTGTTCAACACTGTGAATTCAATTGAAACATCCCAATGAAGCTTCTGAGAATGCTTCTGTCTAGAGTTTATATGAAGACAATCCCGTTTCCAATTAAATCCTCAAAGCTATCCAAATATCCTCTTGCAGATTTCACAAAAAGAGTGTTTCAAAACTGCTCTATCAAAAGAAAGCTTCAACACTGTTAGTTGAGGGCGCACATCACAAATAAGATTCTGAGAATGCTTCTGTCTAGTTTTCAGGGGAAGATATTTCCTTTTTCACCATAGGCCTGAAAGCGCTCCAAATGTCCACATACAGATACTACAAAAAGAGTGTTTCAAACCTGCTCTCTGAAAGGGAATGTTCAACTCTGTGACTTGAATGCAAACATCACAAACAAGATTCTGGGAATGCTGCTGTCTGCTTTTTATATGTAATCCCGTTTCCAACGAAATCCTCAAAGCTAGACAAATATCCACTTGCAGATTCCACAAAAAGAGTGTTTCAAAACTGCTCTCTCAAAAGAAAGGTTCAACTCTGTTAGCTGAGTAGATACATCATGAAAATGTTTCCTGACATTGCTTCTATGTAGCTTTTATTGGAAGATATTTCCTTTTTCACCATAGTCCTGAGAGCGCTCCAAATGTCCACTTCCAGATACTACAAAAAGAGTGTTTCAAACCTGTTCTATGAAAGGAACTGTTCAACACTGTGACTTCAATTGAAACATCCCAATGAAGCTTCTGAGAATGCTTATGTCTAGAGTTTATATGAAGACAATCCCGTTTCCAACGAAATCCTGAAAGCTATCCAAATATCCTCTTGCAGATATTACAAAAAGAGTGTTTCAAAACTGCTCTATCAAAAGAAAGCTTCAACACTGTTAGTTGAGGGCGCCCATCACAAATAAGTTTCGGAGAATGCTTAGCTGTCTGCTTTTTATATGAAATCCCGTTTCCAACGAAATCCTCAAAGCTAGACAAATATCCACTTGCAGATTCCACAAAAAGAGTTTTTCAAAACTGCTCTATCAAAAGAATGCTTCAACACTGTTAGTTGAGGGCGCACATCACAAATAAGTTTCTGAGAATGCTTCTGTCTAGTTTTCAGGGGAAGATATTTCCTTTTAAACCATAGGCCTGAAAGCGCTCCAAATGTCCACATCCAGATACTACAAAAAGAGTGTTTGAAACCTGCTCTATGAAAGGGACTGTTCAACACTGTGACTTCAATTGAAACATCCCAATGAAGCTTCTGAGAATGCTTCTGTCTGGAGTTTATATGAAGACAATCCCGTTTCCAACGAAATCCTCAAAGCTATCCAAATATCCTCTTGCAGATTTTACAAAAAGAGTGTTTCAAAACTGCTCTATCAAAAGAAAGCTTCAACACTGTTAGTTGAGGGCGCACATCACAAATAAGATTCTGAGAATGCTTCTGTCTAGTTTTCAGGGGAAGATATTTCCTTTTTCACCATAGGCCTGAAAGCGCTCCAAATGTCCACATCCAGATACTACAAAAAGAGTGTTTCAAACCTGCTCTATGAAAGGGAATGTTCAACTCTGTGAGTTGAATGCAAACATCACAAAGAAGTTTCTGGGAATGCTGCTGTCTGCTTTTTATATGTAATCCGGTTTCCAGCGAAATCCTCAAAGCTAGACAAATATCCACTTGCAGATTCCACAAAAAGAGTGTTTCAAAACTGCTCTCTCAAAGGAAGGTTCAACTCTGTTAGCTGAGTAGATACATCATGAAAAAGTTTCTGACATTGCTTCTATCTAGCTTTTATTGGAAGATATTTCCTTTTTCACCGTAGTCCTGAGAGTGCTCCAAATGTCCACTTCCAGATACTACAAAAAGAGTGTTTCCAACCTGCTCTATGAAAGGGACTGTTCAACACTGTGACTTCAATTGAAACATCCCAATGAAGCTTCTGAGAATGCTTTCTGTCTAGATTCTATATGAAGACAATCCCGTTTCCAACGAAATCCTCAAAGCTATCCAAATATCCTCTTGCAGATTTTACAAAAAGAGTGTTTCAAAACTGCTCTATCAAAAGAAAAGTTCCACACTGTTAGTTGAGGGCGCACATCACAAATAAGTTTGCTGAGAATGCTGCTGTCTGCTTTTTATATGTAATCCCGTTTCCAACGAAATCCTCAAAGCTATCCAAATATCCTCTTGCAGATATTACAAAAAGAGTGTTTCAAAAGTGCTCTATCAAAAGAAAGGTTCAACACTGTTAGTTGAGGGTGCACATCACAAATAAGTTTCTGAGAATGCTTCTGTCTAGTTTTCAGGGGAAGATATTTCCTTTTAAACCATAGGCCTGCAAACGCTCCAAATGTCCACATCCAGATACTACAAAAAGAGTGTTTCAAACCTGCTCTATGAAAGGGACTGTTCAACACTGTGACTTCAATTGAAACATCCCAATGAAGCTTCTGAGAATTCTTCTGTCTAGATTTTATATGAAGACAATCCCGTTTCCAACGAAATCCTCAAAGCTATCCAAATATCCTCTTGCAGATTTTACAAAAAGAGTGTTTCAAAACTGCTCTATCAAAAGAAAGCTTCAACACTGTTAGTTGAGGGCGCACATCACAAATAAGTTTCTGAGAATGCTTCTGTCTAGTTTTCAGGGGAAGATATTTCCTTTTTCACCATAGGCCTGAAAGCGCTCCAAATGTCCACATCCAGATACTACAAAAAGAATGTTTCAAACCTGCTCTATGAAAGGGAATGTTCAACTCTGTGACTTGAATGCAAACATCACAATGAAGTTTCTGGGAATGCTGCTGTCTGCTTATTATATGTAATCCCGTTTCCAACGAAATCCTCAAAGCTAGACAAATATCCACCTGCAGATTCCACAAAAAGAGTGTTTCAAAACTGCTCTGTCAAAAAAAAGTTTCAACTCTGTTAGCTGAGTAGATACATCATGAAAAAGTTTCTGACATTGCTTCTATCTAGCTTTTATTGGAAGATATTTCCTTTTTCACCGTAGTCCTGAGAGCGCTCCAATTGTCCACTTCCAGATACTACAAAAAGAGTGTTTCAAACCTGCTCTATGAAAGGGACTGTTCAACACTGTGACTTCAATTGAAACATCCCAATGAAGCTTCTGAGAATGCTTCTGTCTAGATTCTATATGAAGACAATCCCGTTTCCAACGAAATCCTCAAAGCTATCCAAATATCCTCTTGCAGATTTTACAAAAAGAGTGTTTCAAAACTGCTCTATCAAAAGAAAAGTTCCACACTGTTAGTTGAGGGCGCACATCACAAATAAGTTTGCTGAGAATGCTGCTGTCTGCTTTTTATATGTAATCCCGTTTCCAACGAAATCCTCAAAGCTAGACAAATATCCACTTGCAGATTCCACAAAAAGAGTGTTTCAAAACTGCTCTATCAAAAGAAAGCTTCAACACTGTTAGTTGAGGGGGCACATCAGAAATAAGTTTCTGAGAATGCTTCTGTCTAGTTTTCAGGGGAAGATATTTCCTTTTAAACCATAGGCCTGAAAGCGCTCCAAATGTCCACATCCAGATACTACAAAAAGAGTGTTTCAAACCTGCTCTATGAAAGGGACTGTTCAACACTGTGACTTCAATTGAAACATCCCAATGACGCTTCTGAGAATGCTTCTGTCTAGAGTTTATATGAAGACAATCCCGTTTCCAACGAAATCCTCAAAGCTATCCAAATATCCTCTTGCAGATTTTACAAAAAGACTGTTTCAAAACTGCTCTATCAAAAGAAAGCTTCAACACTGTTAGTTGAGGGCGCACATCACAAATAAGATTCTGAGAATGCTTCTGTCTAGTTTTCAGGGGAAGATATTTCCTTTTTCACCATAGGCCTGAAAGCGCTCCAAATGTCCACATCCAGATACTACAAAAAGAGAGTTTCAAAACTGCTCTATGAAAGGGAATGTTCAACTCTGTGACTTGAATGCAAACATCACAAAGAAGTTACTGGGATTGCTGCTGTCTGCTTTTTATATGTAATCCCGTTTCCAACGAAATCCTCAAAGCTAGACAAATATCCACTTGCAGATTCCACAAAAAGAGTGTTTCAAAACTGCTCTCTCAAAAGAAAGGTTCAACTCTTTTAGCTGAGTAGATACATCATGAAAAAGTTTCTGACATTGCTTCTATCTAGCTTTTATTGGAAGATATTTCCTTTTTCACCGTAGTCCTGAGATCTCTCCAAATGTCCACTTCCCGATACTACAAAAAGAGTGTTTCAAACCTGCTCTATGAAAGGGACTGTTCAACACTGTGACTTCAATTGAAATATCCCAATGAAGCTTCTGAGAATGCTGCTGTCTGCTTTGTATAATTAATCCCGTTTCCAACGAAATCCTCAAAGCTATCCAAATATCCTCTTGCAGATATTACAAAAAGAGTGTTTCAAAACTGCTCTATCAAAAGAAAGCTTCAACACTGTTAGTTGAGGGCGCACATCACAAATAAGTTTCTGAGAATGCTGCTGTCTGCTTTTTATATGTAATCCCGTTTCCAACGAAATCCTCAAAGCTAGACAAATATCCACTTGCAGATTCCACAAAAAGAGTGTTTCAAAACTGCTCTATCAAAAGAATGCTTCAACACTGTTAGTTGAAGGCGCACATCACAAATAAGTTTCTGAGAATGCTTCTGTCTAGTTTTCAGGGGAAGATATTTCCTTTTTCACCATAGGCCTGAAAGCGCTCCAAATGTCCACATCCAGATACTACAAAAAGAGTGTTTCAAACCTGCTCTATGAAAGGGACTGTTCAACACTGTGACTTCAATTGAAACATCCCAATGAAGCTTCTGAGAATGCTTCTGTCTAGAGTTTATATGAAGACAATCCCGTTTCCAACGAAATCCTCAAAGCTATCAAAATATCCTCTTGCAGATTTTACGAAAAGAGTGTTTCAAAACTGCTCTATCAAAAGAAAGCTTCAACACTGTTAGTTGAGGGCGCACATCACAAATAAGATTCTGAGAAAGCTTCTGTCTAGTTTTCAGGGGAAGATATTTCCTTTTTCACCATAGGCCTGAAAGCGCTCCAAATGTCCACATCCAGATACTACAAAAAGAGTGTTTCAAACCTGCTCTACGAAAGGGAATGTTCAACTCTGTGACTTGAAAGCAAACATCACAAAGAAGTTTCTGGGAATGCTGCTGTCTGCTTTTTATATGTAATCCCGTTTCCAACGAAATCCTCAAAGCTAGACAAATATCCACTTCCAGATTCCACAAAAAGAGTGTTTCAAAACTGCTGTCTCAAAAGAAAGGTTCAACTGCTGTTAGCTGAGTAGATACATCATGAAAAAGTTTCTGACATTGCTTCTATCTAGCTTTTATTGGAAGATATTTCCTTTATCACCGTATTCCTGAGATCTCTCCAAATGTCCACTTCCAGATACTACAAAAAGAGTGTTTCAAACCTGCTCTATGAAAGGGACTGTTCAACACTGTGACTTCAATTGAAACATCCCAATGAAGCTTCTGAGAATGCTTCTTTCTAGAGTTTATATGAAGACAATCCCGTTTCCAACGAAATCCTCAAAGCTATCCAAATATTCTCTTGCAGATATTACAAAAAGAGTGTTTCAAAACTGCTCTATCAAAATAAAGCTTCAACACTGTTAGTTGAGGGCGCACATCACAAATAAGTTTCTGAGAATGCTGCTGTCTGCTTTTTATATGTAATCCCGTTTCCAACGAAATCCTCAAAGCTAGACAAATATCCACTTGCAGATTCCACAAAAAGAGTGTTTCAAAACTGCTCTATCAAAAGAAAGCTTCAACACTGTTAGTTGAGGGGGCACATCACAAATAAGTTTCTGAGAATGCTTCTGTCTAGTTTTCAGGGGAAGATATTTCCTTTTTCACCATAGGCCTGAAAGCGCTCGAAATGTCCACATCCAGATACTACAAAAAGAGTGTTTCAAACCTGCTCTATGAAAGGGACTGTTCAACACTGTGACTTCAATTGAAACATCCCAATGAAGCTTCTGAGAATGCTTCTGTCTAGAGTTTATATGAAGACAATCCCGTTTCCAACGAAATCCTCAAAGCTATCCAAATATCCTCTTGCAGATATTACAAAAAGAGTGTTTCAAAACTGCTCTATCAAAAGAAAGGTTCAACACTGTTAGTTGAGGGCGCACATCACAAATAAGATTCTGAGAATGCTTCTGTCTAGTTTTCAGGGGAAGATATTTCCTTTTTCACCGTAGGCCTGAAAGCGCTCCAAATGTCCACAACCAGATACTACAAAAAGAGTGTTTCAAACCTGCTCTATGAAAGGGAATGTTCAACTCTGTGACTTGAATGCAAACATCACAAAGAAGTTTCTGGGAATGCTGCTGTCTGCTTTTTATATGTAATCCCGTTTCCAACGAAATCCTCAAAGCTAGACAAATATCCACTTGCAGATTCCACAAAAAGACTGTTTCAAAACTGCTCACTCAAAGGAAAGGTTCAACTCTGTTAGCTGAGTAGATACATCATGAAAAAGTTTCTGACATTGCTTCTATGTAGCTTTTATTGGAAGATATTTCCTTTTTCACCATAGTCCTGAGAGCGCTCCAAATGTCCACTTCCAGATACTACAAAAAGAGTGTTTCAAACCTGTTCTATGAAAGGAACTGTTCAACACTGTGACTTCAATTGAAACATCCCAATGAAGCTTTTGAGAATGCTGCTGTCTGCTTTGTATAATTAATCCCGTTTCCAACGAAATCCTCAAAGCTATCCAAATATCCTCTTGCAGATATTACAAAAAGAGTGTTTCAAAACTGCTCTATCAAAAGAAAGCTTCAACACTGTTAGTTGAGGGCGCACATCACAAATAAGTTTCTGAGAATGCTGCTGTCTGCTTTTTATATGTAATCCCGTTTCCAACGAAATCCTCAAAGCTATCCAAATATCCTCTTGCAGATATTACAAAAAGAGTGTTTCAAAACTGCTCTATCAAAAGAAAGGTTCAACACTGTTAGTTGAGGGCGCACATCACAAATAAGTTTCTGAGAATGCTTCTATCTAGCTTTTATTGGAAGATATTTCCTTTATCACCGTATTCCTGAGATCTCTCCAAATGTCCACTTCCAGATACTACAAAAAGAGTGTTTCAAACCTGCTCTATGAAAGGGACTGTTCAACACTGTGACTTCAATTGAAACATCCCACTGAAGCTTCTGAGAATGCTTCTGTCTAGAGTTTATATGAAGACAATCCCGTTTCCAACGAAATCCTCAAAGCTATCAAAATATCCTCTTGCAGATTTTACGAAAAGAGTGTTTCAAAACTGCTCTATCAAAAGAAAGCTTCAACACTGTTAGTTGAGGGCTCACATCACAAATAAGATTCTGAGAATGCTTCTGTCTATTTTTCAGGGGAAGATATTTCCTTTTTCACCTTAGGCCTGAAAGCGCTGCAAATGTCCACATCCAGATACTACAAAAAGAGTGTTTCAAACCTGCTCTATGAAAGGGAATGTTCAACTCTGTGACTTGAATGCAAACATCACAAAGAAGTTTCTGGGAATGCTGCTGTCTGCTTTTTATATGTAATCCCGTTTCCAACGAAATCCTCTAAGCTAGACAAATATCCACTTGCAGATTCCACAAAAATAGTGTTTCAAAACTGCTCTCTCAAAAGAAAGGTTCAACTCTTTTAGCTGAGTAGATACATCATGAAAAAGTTTCTGACATTGCTTCTATCTAGCTTTTATTGGAAGATATTTCCTTTTTCACCGCAGTCCTGAGAGCCCTCCAAATGTCCACTTCCAGATACTACAAAAAGAGTGTTTCAAACCTGCTCTATGAAAGGGACTGTTCAACACTGTGACTTCAAGTGAAACATCCCAATGAAGCTTCTGAGAATGCTTCTGTCTAGTTTTCAGGAGAAGATATTTCCTTTTTCACCATAGGCCTGAAAGCGCTCCAAATGTCCACATCCAGATACTACAAAAAGAGTGTTTCAAACCTGCTCTCTGAAAGGGAATGTTTAACTCTGTGACTGGAATGCAAACATCACAAACAAGATTCTGGGAATGCTGCTGTCTGCTTTTTATATGTAATCCCGTTTCCAACGAAATCCTCAAAGCTAGACAAATATCCCCTTGCAGATTCCACAAAAAGAGTGTTTCAAAACTGCTCTATCAAAAGAAAGCTTCAACACTGTTAGTTGAGGGCGCAAATCACAAATAAGTTTCTGAGAATGCTTCTGTCTAGTTTTCAGGGGAAGATATTTCCTTTTTCACCATAGGCCTGAAAGCGCTCCAAATGTCCACATCCAGATACTACAAAAAGAGTGTTTCAAACCTGCTCTATGAAAGGGACTGTTCAACACTGTGACTTCAATTGAAACATCCCAATGAAGCATCTGAGAATGCTACTGTCTAGAGTTTATATGAAGACAATCCCATTTCCACCGAAATCCTCAAAGCTATCCAAATATCCTCTTGCAGATTTTACAAAAAGAGTGTTTCAAAACGGCTCTATCAAAAGAAAGGTTCATCACTGTTAGTTGAGGGCGCACATCACAAATAAGTTTCTGAGAATGCTTCTGTCTAGTTTTCAGGGGAAGATATTTCCTTTTTCACCATAGGCCTGAAAGCGCTCCAAATGTCCACATCCAGATACTACAAAAAGAGTGTTTCAAACCTGCTCTATGAAAGGGAATGTTCAACTCTGTGACCTGAATGCAAACATCACAAAGAAGTTTCTGGGAATGCTGCTGTCTGCTTTTTATATGTAATCCCGTTTCCAACGAAATCCTCAAAGCTAGACAAATATCCACTTGCAGATTCCACAAAAAGAGTGTTTCAAAACAGCTCTCTCAAAAGAAAGGTTCAACTCTGTTAGCTGAGTAGATACATCATGAAAAATTTTCTGACATTGCTTCAATCTAGCTTTTATTGGAAGATATTTCCTTTATCACCTTAGTCCTGAGAGCGCTCCAAATGTCCACTTCCAGATACTACAAAAAGAGTGTTTCAAACCTGCTCTATGAAAGGAACTGTTCAACAATGTGACTTCAATTGAAACATCCCAATGAAGCTTCTGAGAATGCTTATGTCTAGAGTTTATATGAAGACAATCCCGTTTCCAACGAAATCCTGAAAGCTATCCAAATATCCTCTTGCAGATATTACAAAAAGAGTGTTTCAAAACTGCTCTATCAAAAGAAAGCTTCAACACTGTTAGTTGAGGGCGCCCATCACAAATAAGTTTCGGAGAATGCTTAGCTGTCTGCTTTTTATATGTAATCCCGTTTCCAACGAAATCCTCAAAGCTAGACAAATATCCACTTGCAGATTCCACAAAAAGAGTGTTTCAAAACTGCTCTATCAAAAGAAAGCTTCAACACTGTTAGTTGAGGGCGCACATCACAAATAAGTTTCTGAGAATGCTTCTGTCTAGTTTTCAGGGGAAGATATTTCCTTTTAAACCATAGGCCTGAAAGCGCTCCAAATGTCCACATCCAGATACTACAAAAAGAGTGTTTCAAACCTGCTCTATGAAAGGGACTGTTCAACACTGTGACTTCAATTGAAACATCCCAATGAAGCTTCTGAGAATGCTTCTGTCTAGAGTTTATATGAAGACAATCCCGTTTCCAACGAAATCCTCAAAGCTATCCAAATATCCTCTTGCAGATATTACAAAAAGAGTGTTTCAAAACTGCTCTATCAAAAGAAAGGTTCAACAGTGTTAGTTGAGGGCGCACATCACAAATAAGTTTCTGAGAATGCTTCTGTCTAGTTTTAAGGGGAAGATATTTCCTTTTTCACCATAGGCCTGAAAGCGCTCCAAATGTCCACATCCAGATACTTCAAAAAGAGTGTTTCAAACCTGCTCTATGAAAGGGAATGTTCAACTCTGTGACTTGAATGCAAACATCACAAAGAAGTTTCTGGGAATGCTGCTGTCTGCTTTTTATATGTAATCCCGTTTCCAACGAAATCCTCAAAGCTAGACAAATATCCACTTGCAGATTCCACAAAAAGAGTGTTTCAAAACTGCTCTCTCAAAAGAAAGGTTCAACTGTGTTAGCTGAGTAGATCCATCATGAAAAAGTTTCTGACATTGCTTCTATCTAGCTTTTATTGGAAGATATTTCCTTTTTCACCGCAGTCCTGAGAGCGTTCCAAATGTCCACTTCCAGATACTACAAAAAGAGTGTTTCAAACCTGCTCTATGAAAGGGACTGTTCAACACTGTGACTTCAATTGAAACATCCCAATGAAGCTTCTGAGAATGCTTCTGTCTAGAGTTTATATGAAGACAATCCCGTTTCCAACGAAATCCTCAAAGCTATCCAAATATCCTCTTGCAGATATTACAAAAAGAGTGTTTCAAAACTGCTCTATCAAAAGAAAGGTTCAACACTGTTAGTTGAGGGCGCACATCACAAATAAGTTTACTGAGAATGCTGCTGTCTGCTTTTCATATGTAATCCCGTTTCCAACGAAATCCTCAAAGCTAGACAAATATCCACTTGCAGATTCCACAAAAAGAGTGTTTCAAAACTGCTCTATCAAAAGAATGCTTCAACACTGTGAGTTGAGGGCGCACATCACAAATAAGTTTCTGAGAATGCTTCTGTCTAGTTTTCAGGGGAAGATATTTCCTTTTTCACCATAGGCCTGAAAGCGCTCCAAATGTCCACATCCAGATACTACAAAAAGAGTGTTTCAAACCTGCTCTATGAAAGGGACTGTTCAACACTGTGACTTCAATTGAAACATCCCAATGAAGCTTCTGAGAATGCTTCTGTCTAGAGTTTATATGAAGACAATCCCGTTTCCAACGTAATCCTCAAAGCTATCCAAATATCCTCTTGCAGATTTTACGAAAAGAGTGTTTCAAAACTGCTCTATCAAAAGAAAGCTTCAACAGTGTTAGTTGAGGGCGCACATCACAAATAAGATTCTGAGAATGCTTCTGTCTAGTTTTCAGGGGAAGATATTTCCTTTTTCACCATAGGCCTGAAAGCGCTCCAAATGTCCACATACAGATACTACAAAAAGTGTGTTTCAAACCTGCTCTATGAAAGGGAATGTTCAAATCTGTGACTTGAATGCAAACATCACAAAGAAGTTTCTGGGAATGCTGCTGTCTGCTTTTTATATGTAATCCCGTTTCCAACGAAATCCTCAAAGCTAGACAAATATCCACTTGCAGATTCCACAAAAAGAGTGTTTCAAAACTGCTCTCTCAAAGGAAAGGTTCAACTCTGTTAGCTGAGTAGATACATCATGAAAAAGTTTCTGACATTGCTTCTATGTAGCTTTTATTGGAAGATATTTCCATTTTCACCGTAGTCCTGAGAGCGCTCCAAATGTCCACTTCCAGATACTACAAAAAGAGTGTTTCAAACCTGTTCTATGAAAGGAACTGTTCAACACTGTGACTTCAATTGAAACATCCCAATGAAGCTTCTGAGAATGCTGCTGTCTGCTTTGTATAATTAATCCCGTTTCCAACGAAATCCTCAAAGCTATCCAAATATCCTCTTGCAGATATTACAAAAAGAGTGTTTCAAAACTGCTCTATCAAAAGAAAGCTTCAACACTGTTAGTTGAGGGCGCACATCACAAATAAGTTTCTGAGAATGCTGCTGTCTGCTTTTTATATGTAATCCCGTTTCCAACGAAATCCTCAAAGCTAGACAATTATCCACTTGCAGATTCCACAAAAAGAGTGTTTCAAAACTGCTCTATCAAAAGAATGCTTCAACACTGTTAGTTGAAGGCGCACATCACAAATAAGTTTCTGAGAATGCTTCTGTCTAGTTTTCAGGGGAAGATATTTCCTTTTTCACCATAGGCCTGAAAGCGCTCGAAATGTCCACATCCAGATACTACAAAAAGAGTGTTTCAAACCTGCTCTATGAAAGGGACTGTTCAACACTGTGACTTCAATTGAAACATCCCAATGAAGCTTCTGAGAATGCTTCTGTCTAGAGTTTATATGAAGACAATCCCGTTTCCAAAGAAATCCTCAAAGCTATCCAAATATCCTCTTGCAGATTTTACAAAAAGAGTGTTTCAAAACTGCTCTATCAAAAGAAAGCTTCAACACTGTTAGTTGAGGGCGCACATAACAAATAACATTCTGAGAATGCTTCTGTCTAGTTTTCAGGGGAAGATATTTCCTTTTTCACCATAGGCCTGAAAGCGCTCCAAATGTCCACATCCAGATACTACAAAAACAGTGTTTCAAACCTGCTCTATGAAAGGGAATGTTCAACTCTGGAACTTGAAGGCAAATATCACAAAGAAGTTTCTGGGAATGCTGCTGTCTGCTTTTTATATGTAATCCCGTTTCCAACGCAATCCTCAAAGCTAGACAAATATCCACTTGCAGATTCCACAAAAAGAGTGTTTCAAAACTGCTCTCTCAAAAGAAAGGTTCAACTCTGTTAGCTGAGTAGATACATCATGAACAATTTTCTGACATTGCTTCTATCTAGCTTTTATTGGAAGATATTTCCTTTTTCACTGTAGTCCTGAGAACGCTCCAAATGTCCACTTCTAGATACTACAAAAAGAGTGTTTCAAATCTGCTCTATGAAAGGGACTGTTCAACACTGTGACTTCAATTGAAACATCCCAATGAAGCTTCTGAGAATGATTCTGTCTAGATTCTATATGAAGACAATCCCGTTTCCAACGAAATCCTCAAAGCTATGCAAATATCCTCTTGCAGATTTTACAAAAAGAATGTTTCGAAACTGCTCTATCAAAAGAAAGGTTCAACACTGTTAGTTGAGGGCGCACATCACAAATAAGTTTCTGAGAATGCTGCTGTCTGCTTTTTATAATTAATCCCGTTTCCAACGAAATCCTCAAAGCTAGACAAATATCCACTTGCAGATTCCACAAAAAGAGTGTTTCAAAACTGCTCTATCAAAAGAATGCTTCAACACTGTTAGTTGAGGGCGCACATCACAAATAAGTTTCTGAGAATGCTTCTGTCTAGTTTTCAGGGGAAGATATTTCCTTTTAAACCATAGGCCTGAAAGCGCTCCAAATGTCCACATCCAGATACTACAAAAAGAGTGTTTCAAACCTGCTCTATGAAAGGGACTGTTCAACACTGTGACTTCAATTGAAACATCCCAATGACGCTTCTGAGAATGCTTCTGTCTAGATTGTATATGAAGACAATCCCGTTTCCAACGAAATCCTCAAAGCTATCCAAATATCCTCTTGCAGATTTTACAAAAAGAGTGTTTCAAAACTGCTCTATCAAAAGAAAGCTTCAACACTGTTAGTTGAGGGCGCACATCACAAATAAGTTTCTGAGAATGCTTCTGTCTAGTTTTCAGGGGAAGATATTTCCTTTTTCACCATAGGCTTGAAAGCGCTCCAAATGTCCACATCCAGATACTACAAAAAGAGTGTTTCAAACCTGCTCTATGAAAGGGAATGTTCAACTCTGTGACGTGAATGCAAACATCACAAAGAAGTTTCTGGGAATGCTGCTGTCTGCTTTTTATATGTAATCCCGTTTCCAACGAAATCCTCAAAGCTAGACAAATATCCACTTGCAAATTCCACAAAAAGAGTGTTTCAAAACTGCTCTCTCAAAGGAAGGTTCAACTCTGTTAGCTGAGTAGATACATCATGAAAAAGTTTCTGACATTGCTTCTATCTAGCTTTTATTGGAAGATAGTTCCTTTTTCACCGCAGTCCTGAGAGCGCTCCAAATGTCCACTTCCAGATACTACAAAAAGAGTGTTTCAAACCTGCTCTATGAAAGGGACTGTTCAACACTGTGACTTCAATTGAAACATCCCAATGAAGCTTCTGAGAATGCTTCTGTCTAGAGTTTATATGAAGACAATCCCGTTTCCAACGAAATCCTCAAAGCTATCCAAATATCCTCTTGCAGATATTACAAAAAGAGTGTTTCAAAACTGCTCTATCAAAAGAAAGGTTCAACACTGTTAGTTGAGGGCGCACATCACAAATAAGTTTACTGAGAATGCTGCTGTCTGCTTTTTATATGTAATCCCGTTTCCAACGAAATCCTCAAAGCTAGACAAATATCCACCTGCAGATTCCACAAAAAGAGTGTTTCAAAACTGCTATATCAAAAGAAAGCTTCAACACTGTTAGTTGAGGGCGCACATCACAAATAAGTTTCTGAGAATGCTTCTGTCTAGTTTTCAGGGGAAGATATTTCCTTTTAAACCATAGGCCTGAAAGCGCTCCAAATGTCCACATCCAGATACTACAAAAAGAGTGTTTCAAACCTGCTCTATGAAAGGGACTGTTCAACACTGCAACTTCAATTGAAACATCCCAATGAAGCTTCTGAGAATGCTTCTGTCTAGAGTTTATATGAAGACAATCCCGTTTCCAACGAAATCTTCAAAGCTATCCAAATATCCTCTTGCAGATTTTACAAAAAGAGTGTTTCAAAACTGCTCTATCAAAAGAAAGGTTCAACACTGTTAGTTGAGGGCGCACATCACAAATAAGATTGCTGAGAATGCTTCTGTCTAGTTTTCAGGGCAAGATATTTCCTTTTTCACCATAGGCCTGAAAGCGCTCCAAATGTCCACATCCAGATACTACAAAAAGAGTGTTTCAAACCTGCTCTATGAAAGGGAATGTTCAACTCTGTGACTTGAATGCAAACATCACAAAGAAGTTTCTGGGAATGCTGCTGTCTGCTTTTTATATGTAATCCCGTTTCCAACGAAATCCTCAAAGCTAGACAAATATCCACTTGCAGATTCCACAAAAAGAGTGTTTCAAAACTGCTCTCTCAAAAGAAAGGTTCAACTCTGTTAGCTGAGTAGATACATCATGAAAAAGTTTCTGACATTGCTTCTATCTAGCTTTTATTGGAAGATATTTCCTTTTTCACCGTAGTCCTGAGAGCGCTCCAAATGTCCACTTCCAGATACTACAAAAAGAGTGTTTCAAACCTGCTCTATGAAAGGGAATGTTCAACACTGTGACTTCAATTGAAACACCCCAATGAATCTTCTGAGAATGCTACTGTCTAGAGTTTATATGAAGACAATCCCATTTCCACCGAAATCCTCAAAGCTATCCAAATATCCTCTTGCAGATTTTACAAAAAGAGTGTTTCAAAACTGCTCTATCAAAAGAAAGCTTCAACACTGTTAGTTGAGGGTGCGCATCACAAATAAGTTTCTGAGAATGCTGCTGTCTGCTTTTTATATGTAATCCCGTTTCCAACGAAATCCTCAAAGCTAGACAAATATCCACTTGCAGATAAAAAGAGTGTTTCAAAACTGCTCTGTCAAAAGAAAGCTTCAACACTGTTAGTTGAGGGCGCACATCACAAATAAGATTCTGAGAATGCTTCTGTCTAGTTTTCAGGGGAAGATATTTCCTTTTTCACCATAGGCCTGAAAGCGCTCCAAATGTCCACATCCAGATACTACAAAAAGAGTGTTTCAAACCTGCTCTATGAAAGGGACTGTTCAACACTGTGACTTCAATTGAAACATCCCAATGAAGCTTCTGAGAATGCTTCTGTCTAGAGTTTATATGAAGACAATCCCGTTTCCAACGAAATCCTCAAAGCTATCCAAATATCGTCTTGCAGATATTACAAAAAGAGTGTTTCAAAACTGCTCTATCAAAAGAAAGGTTCAACACTGTTAGTTGAGGGCGCACATCACAAATAAGTTTCTGAGAATGCTTCTGTCTAGTTTTCAGGGGAAGATATTTCCTTTTTCACCATAGGCCTGAAAGCGCTCCAAATGTCCACATCCAGATACTACAAAAAGAGTGTTTCAAACCTGCTCTATGAAAGGGAATGTTCAACTCTGTGACTTGAATGCAAACATCACAAAGAAGATTCTGGGAATGCTGCTGTCTGCTTTTTATATGTAATCCCGTTTCCAACGAAATCCTCAAAGCTAGACAAATATCCACTTGCAGATTCCACCAAAAGAGTGTTTCAAAACTGCTCTGTCAAAAGAAAGGTTCAACTCTGTTAGCTGAACAGATACATCATGAGAAATTTTCTGACATTGCTTCTATGTAGCTTTTATTGGAAGATATTTCCTTTATCACCGTATTCCTGAGATCTCTCCAAAAGTCCACTTCCAGATACTACAAAAAGAGTGTTTCAAACCTGCTGCTATGAAAGGGACTGTTCAACACTGTGACTTCAATTGAAACATGCCCAATGAAGCTTCTGAGAATGCTTCTGTCTAGAGTTTATATGAAGACAATCCCGTTTCCAACGAAATCCTCAAAGCTATCCAAATATCCTCTTGCAGATATTACAAAAAGAGTGTTTCAAAACTGCTCTATCAAAAGAAAGGTTCAACACTGTTAGTTGAGGGCGCACATCACAAATAAGTTTACTGAGAATGCTGCTGTCTGCTTTTTATATGTAATCCCGTTTCCAACGAAATCCTCAAAGCTAGACAAATATCCTCTTGCAGATTCCATAAAAAGAGTGTTTCAAAACTGCTCTATCAAAAGAAAGCTTCAACACTGTTAGATGAGGGCGCACATCACAAATAAGTTTCTGAGAATGCTTCTGTCTAGTTTTCAGGGGAAGATATTTCCTTTTAAACCATAGGCCTGAAAGCGCTCAAATGTCCACATCCAGATACTACAAAAAGAGTGTTTCAATCCTGCTCTATGAAAGGGACTGTTCAACATTGTGACTTCAATTGAAACATCCCCATGATGCTTCTGAGAATGCTTCTGTCTAGAGTTTATATGAAGACAATCCCGTTTCCAACGTAATCCTCAAAGCTATCAAAATATCCTCTTGCAGATTTTACGAAAAGAGTGTTTCAAAACTGCTCTATCAAAAGAAAGCTTCAACACTGTTAGTTGAGGGCGCACATCACAAATAAGATTCTGAGAATGCTTCTGTCTAGTTTTCAGGGGAAGATATTTCCTTTTTCACAATAGGCCTGAAAGCGCTCCAAATGTCCACATCCAGATACTACAAAAAGAGTGTTTCAAACCTGCTCTATGAAAGGGAATGTTCAACTCTGTGACTTGAATGCAAACATCACAAAGAAGTTACTGGGAATGCTGCTGTCTGCTTTTTATATGTAATCCCGTTTCCAACGAAATCCTCAAAGCTAGACAAATATCCACTTGCAGATTCCACAAAAAGAGTGTTTCAAAACTGCTCTCTCAAAGGAAAGGTTCAACTCTGTTAGCTGAGTAGATACATCATGAAAAAGTTTCTGACATTGCTTCTATGTAGCTTTTATTGGAAGATATTTCGTTTTTCACCGTAGTCCTGAGAGCGCTCCAAATGTCCACTTCCAGATACTACAAAAAGAGTGTTTCAAACCTGCTCTATGAAAGGGACTGTTCAACACTGTGACTTCAATTGAAACATCCCAATGAAGCTTCTGAGAATGCTGCTGTCTGCTTTGTATAATTAATCCCGTTTCCAACGAAATCCTCAAAGCTATCCAAATATCCTCTTGCAGATATTACAAAAAGAGTGTTTCAAAACTGCTCTATCAAAAGAAAGCTTCAACACTGTTAGTTGAGGGCGCACATCACAAATAAGTTTCTGAGAATGCTGCTGTCTGCTTTTTATATGTAATCCCGTTTCCAACGAAATCCTCAAAGCTATCCAAATATCCTCTTGCAGATTTTACAAAAAGAGTGTTTCAAAACTGCTCTATCAAAAGAAAGCTTCAACACTGTTAGTTGAGGGCGCACATCACAAATAAGATTCTGAGAATGCTTCTGTCTAGTTTTCAGGGGAAGATATTTCCTTTTTCACCATAGGCCTGAAAGCGCTCCAAATGTCCACATCCAGATACTACAAAAAGAGTGTTTCAAACCTGCTCTATGAAAGGGACTGTTCAACACTGTGACTTCAATTGAAACATCCCAATGAAGCTTCTGAGAATGCTTCTGTCTAGAGTTTATATGAAGACAATCCCGTTTCCAACGAAATCCTCAAAGCTATCCAAATATCCTCTTGCAGATTTTACAAAAAGAGTGTTTCAAAACTGCTCTATCAAAAGAAAGGTTCAACACTGTTAGTTGAGGGCGCACATCACAAATAAGATTCTGAGAATGCTTCTGTCTAGTTTTCAGGAGAATATATTTCCTTTTTCACCATAGGCCTGAAAGCGCTCCAAATGTCCACATCCAGATACTATAAAAAGAGTGTTTCAAACCTGCTCTATGAAATGGAATGTTCAACTCTGTGACTTGAATGCAAACATCACAAAGAAGATTCTGGGAATGCTGCTGTCTGCTTTTTATATGTAATCCCGTTTCCAACGAAATCCTCAAAGCTAGACAAATATCCACTTGCAGATTCCACAAAAAGAGTGTTTCAAAACTGCTCTCTCAAAAGAAAGGTTCAACTCTGTTAGCTGAGTAGATACATCATGAAAAAGTTTCTGACATTGCTTCTATGTAGCTTTTATTGGAAGATATTTCCTTTTTCACCGTAGTCCTGAGAGCGCTCCAAATGTCCACTTCCAGATACTACAAAAAGAGTGTTTCAAACCTGCTCTATGAAAGGGACTGTTCAACACTGTGACTTCAATTGAAACATCCCAATGAAGCTTCTGAGAATGCTGCTGTCTGCTTTGTATAATTAATCCCGTTTCCAACGAAATCCTCAAAGCTATCCAAATATCCTCTTGCAGATATTACAAAAAGAGTGTTTCAAAACTGCTCTATCAAAAGAAAGCTTCAACACTGTTAGTTGAGGGCGCACATCACAAATAAGTTTCTGAGAATGCTGCTGTCTGCTTTTTATATGTAATCCCGTTTCCAACGAAATCCTCAAAGCTAGACAAATATACACTTGCAGATTCCACAAAAAGAGTGTTTCAAAACTGCTGTATCAAAAGAAAGCTTCAACACTGTTAGTTGAGGGCGCACATCACAAATAAGTTTCTGAGAATGCTTCTGTCTAGTTTTCAAGGGAAGATATTTCCTTTTAAACCATAGGCCTGAAAGCGCTCCAAATGTCCACATCCAGATACTACAAAAAGAGTGTTTCAAACCTGCTCTATGAAAGGGACTGTTCAACACTGTGACTTCAATTGAAACATCCCAATGACGCTTCTGAGAATGCTTCTGTCTAGAGTTTATATGAAGACAATCCCGTTTCCAACGAAATCCTCAAAGCTATCCAAATATCCTCTTGCAGATATTACAAAAAGAGTGTTTCAAAACTGCTCTATCAAAAGAAAGGTTCAACACTGTTAGTTGAGGGCGCACATCACAAATAAGTTTCTGAGAATGCTTCTGTCTAGTTTTCAGGGGAAGATATTTCCTTTTTCACCATAGGCCTGAAAGCGCTCCAAATGTCCACATCCAGATACTACAAAAAGAGAGTTTCAAACCTGCTCTATGAAAGGGAATGTTCAACTCTGTGACTTGAATGCAAACATCACAAAGAAGTTTCTGGGAATGCTGCTGTCTGCTTTTTATATGTAATCCCGTTTCCAACGAAATCCTCAAAGCTAGACAAATATCCACTTCCAGATTCCACAAAAAGAGTGTTTCAAAACTGCTGTCTCAAAAGAAAGGTTCAACTGCTGTTAGCTGAGTAGATACATCATGAAAAAGTTTCTGACATTGCTTCTATCTAGCTTTTATTGGAAGATATTTCCTTTGTCACCGTATTCCTGAGTATCTCTCCAAATGTCCACTTCCAGATACTACAAAAAGGGTGTTTCAAACCTGCTCTATGAAAGGGACTGTTCAACACTGTGACTTCAATTGAAACATCCCAA
Organism: Homo sapiens; assembly: GCF_000001405.40. Lineage (NCBI taxonomy): Eukaryota > Metazoa > Chordata > Mammalia > Primates > Hominidae > Homo > Homo sapiens. The sequence goes on along the minus strand of NC_000002.12, from coordinate 93,618,961 downwards.
TGAAGCTTCTGAGAATGCTTCTGTCTAGAGTTTATATGAAGACAATCCCGTTTCCAACGAAATCCTCAAAGCTATCCAAATATCCTCTTGCTGATATTACAAAAAGAGTGTTTCAAAACTGCTCTATCAAAAGAAAGGTTCAACACTGTTAGTTGAGGGCGCACATCACAAATAAGTTTCTGAGAATGCTGCTGTCTGCTTTTTATATGTAATCCCGTTTCCAACGAAATCCTCAAAGCTAGCACAAATATCCACTTGCAGATTCCACAAAAAGAGTGTTTCTAAACTGCTCTATCAAAAGAAAGCTTCAACACTGTTAGTTGAGGGGGCACATCACAAATAAGTTTCTGAGAATGCTTCTGTCTAGTTTTCAGGGGAAGATATTTCCTTTTTCACCATAGGCCTGAAAGCGCTCCAAATGTCCACATCCAGATACTACAAAAAGAGTGTTTCAAACCTGCTCTATGAAAGGGACTGTTCAACACTGTGACTTCAATTGAAACATCCCAATGAAGCTTCTGAGAATGCTTCTGTCTAGAGTTTATATGAAGACAATCCCGTATCCAACGAAATCCTCAAAGCTATCAAAATATCCTCTTGCAGATTTTACGAACAGAGTGTTTCAAAACTGCTCTATCAAAAGAAAGCTTCAACACTGTTAGTTGAGGGCGCACATCACAAATAAGATTCTGAGAATGCTTCTGTCTAGTTTTCAGTGGAAGATATTTCCTTTTTCACCATAGGCCTGAAAGCGCTCCAAATGTCCAAATCCAGATACTACAAAAAGAGTGTTTCAAACCTGCTCTATGAAAGGGAATGTTCAACTCTGTGACTTGAATGCAAACATCACAAAGAAGTTTCTGGGAATGCTGCTGTCTGCTTTTTATATGTAATCCCGTTTCCAACGCAATCCTCAAAGCTAGACAAATATCCACTTGCAGATTCCACAAAAAGAGTGTTTCAAAACTGCTCTCTCAAAGGAAGGTTCAACTCTGTTAGCTGAGTAGATACATCATGAAAAAGTTTCTGACATTGCTTCTATCTAGCTTTTATTGGAAGATATTTCCTTTTTCACCCTAGTCCTGAGAGCGCTCCAAATGTCCACTTCCAGATACTACAAAAAGAGTGTTTCAAACCTGTTCTATGAAAGGAACTGTTCAACACTGTGACTTCAATTGAAACATCCCAATGAAGCTTCTGAGAATGCTTCTGTCTAGAGTTTATATGAAGACAATCCCGTTTCCAACGAAATCCTCAATGCTATCCAAATATCCTCTTGCAGATATTACAAAAAGAGTGTTTCAAAACTGCTCTATCAAAAGAAAGCTTCAACACTGTTAGTTGAGGGCGCACATCACAAATAAGTTTCTGAGAATGCTGCTGTCTGCTTTTTATATGTAATCCCGTTTCCAACGAAATCCTCAAAGCTAGAAAAATATCCACATGCAGATTCCACAAAAAGAGTGTTTCAAAACTGCTCTATCAAAAGAAAGCTTCAACACTGTTAGTTGAGGGCGCACATCACAAATAAGTTTCTGAGAATGCTTCTGTCTAGTTTTCAGGGGAAGATATTTCCTTTTAAACCATAGGCCTGAAAGCGCTCCAAATGTCCACATCCAGATACTACAAAAAGAGTGTTTCAAACCTGCTCTATGAAAGGGACTGTTCAACACTGTGACTTCAATTGAAACATCCCAATGAAGCTTCTGAGAATGCTTCTGCCTAGAGTTTATATGAAGACAATCCCGTTTCCAACGAAATCCTCAAAGCTATCCAAATATCCTCTTGCAGATATTACAAAAAGAGTGTTTCAAAACTGCTCTATCAAAAGAAAGCTTCAACACTGTTAGTTGAGGGCGCACATCACAAATAAGTTTCTGAGAATGCTTCTGTCTAGTTTTCAGGAGAAGATATTTCCTTTTTCACCATAGGCCTGAAAGCGCTCCAAATGTCCACATCCAGATACTATAAAAAGAGTGTTTCAAACCTGCTCTCTGAAAGGGAATGTTCAACTCTGTGACTTGAATGCAAAGATCACAAACAAGATTACTGGGAATGCTGCTGTCTGCTTTTTATATGTAATCCCGTTTCCAACGAAATCCTCAAAGCTAGACAAATATCCACTTGCAGATTCCACAAAAAGAGTGTTTCAAAACTGCTCTCTCAAAGGAAGGTTCAACTCTGTTAGCTGAGTAGATACATCATGAAAAATTTCTGACATTGCTTCTATCTAGCTTTTATTGGAAGATATTTCCTTTTTCACCGTAGTCCTGAGAGCGCTCCAAATGTCCACTTCCAGATGCTACAAAAAGAGTGTTTCAAACCTGCTCTATGAAAGTGACTGTTCAACACTGTGACTTCAATTGAAACATCCCTATGAAGCTTATCAGAATGCTTCTGTCTAGATTCTATATGAAGACAATCCCGTTTCCAACGAAATCCTCAAAGCTATCCAAATATCCTCTTGCAGATTTTACAAAAAGAGTGTTTCAAAACTGCTCTATCAAAAGAAAAGTTCCACACTGTTAGTTGAGGGCGCACATCACAAATAAGTTTGCTGAGAATGCTGCTGTCTGCTTTTTATATGTAATCCCGTTTCCAACGAAATCCTCAAAGCTAGACAAATATCCACTTGCAGATTCCACAAAAGGAGTGTTTCAAAACTGCTCTTTCAAAACGATGATTCAATTCTGTTAGTTGAGGGCGCACATCACAAATAAGTTTCTGAGAATGCTTCTGTCTAGTTTTCAGGGGAAGATATTTCCTTTTTCACCATAGGCCTGAAAGCTCTCCAAATGTCCACGTCCAGATACTACAAAAAGAGTGTTTCAAACCTGCTCTATGAAAGGGAATGTTCAACTCTGTGACTTGAATGCAAACATCACAAAGAAGTTTCTGAGAATGCTTCTGTCTAGAGTTTATATGAAGACAATCCCGTTTCCAACGAAATCCTCAAAGCTATCCAAATATCCTCTTGCAGATTTTACAAAAAGAGTGTTTCAAAACTGCTCTATCAAAAGAAAGCTTCAACACTGTTAGTTGAGGGCGCACATCACAAATAAGTTTCTGAGAATGCTTCTGTCTAGTTTTCAGGGGAAGATATTTCCTTTTTCACCTTAGGCCTGAAAGCGCTGCAAATGTCCACATCCAGATACTACAAAAAGAGTGTTTCAAACCTGCTCTATGAAAGGGAATGTTCAACTCTGTGACTTGAATGCAAACATCACAAAGAAGTTTGCTGGGAATGCTGCTGCTTTTTATATGTAATCCCGTTTCCAACGAAATCCTCAAAGCTAGAAAAATATCCACTTGCAGATTCCACAAAAAGAGTGTTTCAAAACTGCTCTCTCAAAAGAAAGGTTCAACTCTGTTAGCTGAGTAGATACATCATGAAAAAGTTTCTGACATTGCTTCTATCTAGCTTTTATTGGAAGATATTTCCTTTATCACCGTATTCCTGAGATCTCTCCAAATGTCCACTTCCAGATACTACAAAAAGAGTGTTTCAAACCTGCTCTATGAAAGGGACTGTTCAACACTGTGACTTCAATTGAAACATCCCAATGAAGCTTCTGAGAATGCTTCTTTCTAGAGTTTATATGAAGACAATCCCGTTTCCAACGAAATCCTCAAAGCTATCCAAATATTCTCTTGCAGATATTACAAAAAGAGTGTTTCAAAACTGCTCTATCAAAATAAAGCTTCAACACTGTTAGTTGAGGGCGCACATCACAAATAAGTTTCTGAGAATGCTGCTGTCTGCTTTTTATATGTAATCCCGTTTCCAACGAAATCCTCAAAGCTAGACAAATATCCACTTGCAGATTCCACAAAAAGAGTGTTTCAAAACTGCTCTATCAAAAGAATGCTTCAACACTGTTAGTTGAGGGCGCACATCACAAATAAGTTTCTGAGAATGCTTCTGTCTAGTTTTCAGGGGAAGATATTTCCTTTTAAACCATAGGCCTGAAAGCGCTCCAAATGTCCACATCCAGATACTACAAAAAGAGTGTTTGAAACCTGCTCTATGAAAGGGACTGTTCAACACTGTGACTTCAATTGAAACATCCCAATGAAGCTTCTGAGAATGCTTCTGTCTAGATTTTATATGAAGACAATCCCGTTTCCAACGAAATCCTCAAAGCTATCCAAATATCCTCTTGCAGATATTACAAAAAGAGTGTTTCAAAACTGCTCTATCAAAAGAAAGGTTCAGCAGTGTTAGTTGAGGGCGCACATCACAAATAAGTTTCTGAGAATGCTTCTGTCTAGTTTTCAGGGGAAGATATTTCCTTTTTCACCTTAGGCCTGAAAGCGCTGCAAATGTCCACATCCAGATACTAAAAAAAGAGTGTTTCAAACCTGCTCTATGAAAGGGAATGTTCAACTCTGTGACTTGAATGCAAACATCACAAAGAAGTTTACTGGGAATGCTGCTGTCTGCTTTTTATATGTAATCCCGTTTCCAACGAAATCCTCAAACCTAGACAAATATCCACCTGCAGATCGAACAAAAAGAGTGTTTCAAAACTGCTCTCTCAAAAAAAAGGTTCAACTCTGTTAGCTGAGTAGATACATCATGAAAAAGTTTCTGACATTGCTTCTATCTAGCTTTTATTGGAAGATATTTCCTTTTTCACCGTAGTCCTGAGAGCGCTCCAAATGTCCACTTCCAGATACTACAAAAAGGGTGTTTCAAACCTGCTCTATGAAAGGGACTGTTCAACACTGTGACTTCAATTGAAACATCCCAATGAAGCTTCTGAGAATGCTGCTGTCTGCTTTGTATAATTAATCCCGTTTCCAACGAAATCCTCAAAGCTATCCAAATATCCTCTTGCAGATATTACAAAAAGAGTGTTTCAAAACTGCTCTATCAAAAGAAAGCTTCAACACTGTTAGTTGAGGGCGCACATCACAAATAAGTTTCTGAGAATGCTGCTGTCTGCTTTTTATATGTAATCCCGTTTCCAACGAAATCCTCAAAGCTATCCAAATATCCTCTTGCAGATATTACAAAAAGAGTGTTTCAAAACTGCTCTATCAAAAGAAAGGTTCAACACTGTTAGTTGAGGGCGCACATCACAAATAAGTTTCTGAGAATGCTTCTGTCTAGTTTTCAGGGGAAGATATTTCCTTTTTCACCATAGGCCTGAAAGCGCTCTAAATGTCCACATCCAGATACTACAAAAAGAGTGTTTCAAACCTGCTCTATGAAAGGGACTGTTCAACACTGTGACTTCAATTGAAACATCCCAATGAAGCTTCTGAGAATGCTTCTGCCTAGAGTTTATATGAAGACAATCCCGTTTCCAACGAAATCCTCAAAGCTATCCAAATATCCTCTTGCAGATATTACAAAAAGAGTGTTTCAAAACTGCTCTATCAAAAGAAAGCTTCAACACTGTTAGTTGAGGGCGCACATCACAAATAAGTTTCTGAGAATGCTTCTGTCTAGTTTTCAGGAGAAGATATTTCCTTTTTCATCATAGGCCTGAAAGCGCTCCAAATGTCCACATCCAGATACTATAAAAAGAGTGTTTCAAACCTGCTCTCTGAAAGGGAATGTTCAACTCTGTGACTTGAATGCAAACATCACAAAGAAGATTCTGGGAATGCTGCTGTCTGCTTTTTATATGTAATCCCGTTTCCAACGAAATCCTCAAAGCTAGACAAATATCCACCTGCAGATTCCACAAAAAGAGTGTTTCAAAACTGCTCTCTCAAAAGAAAGGTTCAATTCTGTTAGCTGAGTAGATACCTCATGAAAAATTTTCTGACATTGCTTCTATCTAGCTTTATTTGGAAGATATTTCCTTTTTCACCGTAGTCCTGAAAACGCTCCAAATGTCAACTTCCAGATACTACAAAAAGAGTGTTTCAAACATGCTCTATGAAAGGGACTGTTCAACACTGTGACTTCAATTGAATCATCCCAATGAAGCTTCTGAGAATGCTTCTGTCTAGAGTTTATATGAAGACAATCCCGTTTCCAACGAAATCTTCAAAGCTATCCAAATATCCTCTTGCAGATTTTACAGAAAGAGTGTTTCAAAACTGCTCTATCAAAAGAAAAGTTCAACACTGTTAGTTGAGGGCGCACATCACAAATAAGTTTCTGAGAATGCTGCTGTCTGCTTTTTATATGTAATCCCGTTTCCAACGAAATCCTCAAAGCTAGACAAATATCCACTTGCAGATTCCACAAAAAGAGTGTTTCAAAACTGCTCTATCAAAAGAATGCTTCAACACTGTTAGTTGAGGGCGCACATCACAAATAAGTTTCTGAGAATGCTTCTGTCTAGTTTTCAGGGGAAGATATTTCCTTTTTCACCATAGGCCTGAAAGCGCTCGAAATGTCCACATCCAGATACTACAAAAAGAGTGTTTCAAACCTGCTCTATGAAAGGGACTGTTCAACACTGTGACTTCAATTGAAACATCCCAATGAAGCTTCTGAGAATGCTTCTGTCTAGAGTTTATATGAAGACAATCCCGTTTCCAACGAAATCCTCAAAGCTATCCAAATATCCTCTTGCAGATATTACAAAAAGAGTGTTTCAAAACTGCTCTATCAAAAGAAAGGTTCAACACCGTTAGTTGAGGGCGCACATCACAAATAAGTTTCTGAGAATGCTTCTGTCTAGTTTTCAGGGGAAGATATTTCCTTTTTCACCATAGGCCTGAAAGCGCTCCAAATGTCCACATCCAGATACTACAAAAAGAGTGTTTCAAACCTGCTCTATGAAAGGGAATGTTCAACTCTGTGACTTGAATGCAAACATCACAAAGAAGTTACTGGGAATGCTGCTGTCTGCTTTTTATATGTAATCCCGTTTCCAACGAAATCCTCAAAGCTAGACAAATATCCACTTGCAGATTCCACAAAAAGAGTGTTTCAAAACTGCTCTCTCAAAAGAAAGGTTCAACCCTGTTAGCTGAGCAGATACATCATGAAAAAGTTTCTGACATTGCTTCTATCTAGCTTTCTTTGGAAGATATTTCCTTTTTCACCGTAGTCCTGAAAACGCTCCAAATGTCAACTTCCAGATACTACAAAAAGAGTGTTTCAAACATGCTCTATGAAAGGGACTGTTCAACACTGTGACTTCAATTGAAACATCCCAATGAAGCTTCTGAGAATGGTGCTGTCTGCTTTGTATAATTAATCCCGTTTCCAACGAAATCCTCAAAGCTATCCAAATATCCTCTTGCAGATATTACAAAAAGAGTGTTTCAAAACTGCTCTATCAAAAGAAAGCTTCAACACTGTTAGTTGAGGGCGCACATCACAAATAAGTTTCTGAGAATGCTGCTGTCTGCTTTTTATAATTAATCCCGTTTCCAACGAAATCCTCAAAGCTATCCAAATATCCTCTTGCAGATATTACAAAAAGAGTGTTTCAAAACTGCTCTATCAAAAGAAAGCTTCAACACTGTTAGTTGAGGGCGCACATCACAAATAAGTTTCTGAGAATGCTTCTGTCTAGTTTTCAGGGGAAGATATTTCCTTTTAAACCATAGGCCTGAAAGCGCTCCAAATGTCCACATCCAGATACTACAAAAAGAGTGTTTCAAACCTGCTCTATGAAAGGGACTGTTCAACACTGTGACTTCAATTGAAACATCCCAATGAAGCTTCTGAGAATGCTTCTGTCTGGAGTTTATATGAAGACAATCCCGTTTCCAACGAAATCCTCAAAGCTATCCAAATATCCTCTTGCAGATTTTACAAAAAGAGTGTTTCAAAACTGCTCTATCAAAAGAAAGCTTCAACACTGTTAGTTGAGGGCGCACATCACAAATCAGATTCTGAGAATGCTTCTGTTTAGTTTTCAGGAGAAGATATTTCCTTTTTCACCATAGGCCTGAAAGCGCTCCAAATGTCCACATCCAGATACTATAAAAAGAGTGTTTCAAACCTGCTCTCTGAAAGGGAATGTTCAACTCTGTGACTTGAATGCAAACATCACAAACAAGATTCTGGGAATGATGCTGTCTGCTTTTTCTATGTAATCCCGTTTCCAACGAAATCCTCAAAGCTAGACAAATATCCACTTGCAGATTCCACAAAAAGAGTGTTTCAAAACTGTTCTCTCAAAAGAAAGGTTCAACTCTGTTAGCTGAGTAGGTACATCATGAAAAAGTTTCTGACATTGCTTCTATCTAGCTTTTATTGGAAGATATTTCCTTTATCACCGTATTCCTGAGATCTCTCCAAATGTCCACTTCCAGATACTACAAAAAGAGTGTTTCAAACCTGCTGTATGAAAGGGACTGTTCAACACTGTGACTTCAATTGAAACATCCCAATGAAGCTTCTGAGAATGCTTCTGTCTAGAGTTTATATGAAGACAATCCCGTTTCCAACGAAATCCTCAAAGCTATCCAAATATCCTCTTGCAGATATTACAAAAAGAGTGTTTCAAAACTGCTCTATCAAAAGAAAGGTTCAACACTGTTAGTTGAGGGCGCACATCACAAATAAGTTTACTGAGAATGCTGCTGTCTGCTTTTTATATGTAATCCCGTTTCCAACGAAATCCTCAAAGCTAGACAAATATCCACTTGCAGATTCCACAAAAAGAGTGTTTCAAAACTGCTCTATCAAAAGAAAGCTTCAACACTGTTAGTTGAGGGCGCACATCACAAATAAGTTTCTGAGAAAGCTTCTGTCTAGTTTTCAGGGGAAGATATTTCCTTTTAAACCATAGGCCTGAAAGCGCTCCAAATGTCCACATCCAGATACTACAAAAAGAGTGTTTCAAACCTGCTCTATGAAAGGGACTGTTCAACACTGTGACTTCAATTGAAACATCCCAATGAAGCTTCTGAGAATGCTTCTGTCTAGAGTTTATATGAAGACAATCCCGTTTCCAACGAAATCCTCAAAGCTATCCAAATATCCTCTTGCAGATTTTACAAAAAGAGTGTTTCAAAACTGCTCTATCAAAAGAAAGCTTCAACTCTGTTAGTTGAGGGCGCACATCACAAATAAGATTCTGAGAATGCTTCTGTCTAGTTTTCAGGGGAAGATATTTCCTTTTTCACCATAGGCCTGAAAGCGTTCCAAATGTCCACATCCAGATACTACAAAAAGAGTGTTTCAAACCTGCTCTATGAAAGGGAATGTTCAACTCTGTGACTTGAATGCAAACATCACAAAGAAGTTACTGGGAATGCTGCTGTCTGCTTTTTATATGTAATCCCGTTTCCAACGAAATCCTCAAAGCTAGACAAATATCCACTTGCAGATTCCACAAAAAGAGTGTTTCAAAACTGCTCTCTCAAAGGAAAGGTTCAACTCTGTTAGCTGAGTAGATACATCATGAAAAAGTTTCTGACATTGCTTCTATCTAGCTTTTATTGGAAGATATTTCCTTTTTCACCGTAGTCCTGAGAACGCTCCAAATGTCCACTTCCAGATACTACAAAAAGAGTGTTTCAAACCTGCTCTATGAAAGGGACTGTTCAACACTGTGACTTCAATTGAAACATCCCAATGAAGCTTCTGAGAATGCTTCTGTCTAGATTTTATATGAAGACAATCCCGTTTCCAACGAAATCCTCAAAGCTATCCAAATATCCTCTTGCAGATTTTACAAAAAGAGTGTTTCAAAACTGCTCTATCAAAAGAAAGGTTCCACACTGTTAGTTGAGGGCGTACATCACAAATATGTTTCTGAGAATGCTGCTGTCTGCTTTTTATATGTAATCCCGTTTCCAACGAAATCCTCAAAGCTAGACAAATATCCACTTGCAGATTCCACAAAAAGAGTGTTTCAAAACTGCTCTATCAAAAGAAAGCTTCAACACTGTTAGTTGAGGGCGCACATCACAAATAAGTTTCTGAGAATGCTTCTGTCTAGTTTTCAGGGGAAGATATTTCCTTTTAAACCATAGGCCTGAAAGCGCTCCAAATGTCCACATCCAGATACTACAAAAAGAGTGTTTCAAACCTGCTCTATGAAAGGGAGTGTTCAACACTGTGACTTCAATTGAAACATCCCAATGAAGCTTCTGAGAATGCTTCTGTCTAGAGTTTATATGAAGACAATCCCGTTTCCAACGAAATCCTCAAAGCTATCCAAGTATCCTCTTGCAGATATTACAAAAAGAGTGTTTCAAAACTGCTCTATCAAAAGAAAGCTTCAACACTGTTAGTTGAGGGCGCACATCACAAATAAGTTTCTGAGAATGCTTCTGTCTAGTTTTCAGGAGAAGATATTTCCTTTTTCACCATAGGCCTGAAAGCGCTCCAAATGTCCACATCCAGATACTATAAAAAGAGTGTTTCAAACCTGCTCTCTGAAAGGGAATGTTCAACTCTGTGACATGAATGCAAACATCACAAACAAGATTCTGGGAATGCTTCTGTCTAGAGTTTATTTGAAGACAATCCCGTTTCCAACGAAATCCTCAAAGCTAGACAAATATCCACTTGCAGATTCCACAAAAAGAGTGTTTCAAAACTGCTCTCTCAAAGGAAGGTTCAACTCTGTTAGCTGAGTAGATACATCATGAAAAAGTTTCTGACATTGCTTCTATCTAGCTTTTATTGGAAGATATTTCCTTTTTCACCGTAGTCCTGAGAACGCTCCAAATGTCCACTTCCACATACTACAAAAAGAGTGTTTCAAACCTGCTCTATGAAAGGGACTGTTCAACACTGTGACTTCAATTGAAACATCCCAATGAAGCTTCTGAGAATGCTTCTGTCTAGAGTTTATATGAAGACAATCCCGTTTCCAACGAAATCCTCAAAGCTATCCAAATATCCTCTTGCAGATATTACAAAAAGAGTGTTTCAAAACTGCTCTATCAAAAGAAAGGTTCAACACTGTTAGTTGAGGGCGCACATCACAAATAAGTTTACTGAGAATGCTGCTGTCTGCTTTTTATATGTAATCCCGTTTCCAACGAAATCCTCAAAGCTATCCAAATATCCTCTTGCAGATATTACAAAAAGAGTGTTTCAAAACTGCTCTATCAAAAGAAAGGTTCAACACTGTTAGTTGAGGGCGCACATCACAAATAAGTTTCTGAGAATGCTTCTGTCTAGTTTTCAGGGGAAGATATTTCCTTTTAAACCATAGGCCTGAAAGCGCTCCAAATGTCCACATCCAGATACTACAAAAAGAGTGTTTCAAACCTGCTCTATGAAAGGGACTGTTCAACACTGTGACTTCAATTGAAACATCCCAATGAAGCTTCTGAGAATGCTTCTGTCTAGAGTTTATATGAAGACAATCCCGTTTCCAACGAAATCCTCAAAGCTATCCAAATATCCTCTTGCAGATATTACAAAAAGAGTGTTTCAAAACTGCTCTATCAAAAGAAAGCTTCAACACTGTTAGTTGAGGGCGCACATCACAAATAAGTTTCTGAGAATGCTTCTGTCTAGTTTTCAGGGGAAGATATTTCCTTTTTCACCATAGGCCTGAAAGCGCTCAAAATGTCCACATCCAGATACTACAAAAAGAGTGTTTCAAACCTGCTCTATGAAAGGGAATGTTCAACTCTGTGACTTGAATGCAAACATCACAAAGAAGTTTCTGGGAATGCTGCTGTCTGCTTTTTATATGTAATCCCGTTTCCAACGAAATCCTCAAAGCTAGACAAATATCCACTTACAGATTCCACAAAAAGAGTGTTTCAAAACTGCTCTCTCAAAGGAAAGGTTCAACTCTGTTAGCTGAGTAGATACATCATGAAAAAGTTTCTGACATTTCTTCTATCTAGCTTTTATTGGAAGATATTTCCTTTTTCACTGTAGTCCTGAGAACGCTCCAAATGTCCACTTCCAGATACTACAAAAAGAGTGTTTCAAACCTGCTCTATGAAAGGGACTGTTCAACACTGTTACTTCAATTGAAACATCCGAATGAAGCTTCTGAGAATGCTGCTGTCTGCTTTGTATAATTAATCCCGTTTCCAACGAAATCCTCAAAGCTATCCAAATATCCTCTTGCAGATATTACAAAAAGAGTGTTTCAAAACTGCTCTATCAAAAGAAAGCTTCAACACTGTTAGTTGAGGGCGCACATCACAAATAAGTTTCTGAGAATGCTGCTGTCTGCTTTTTATATGTAATCCCGTTTCCAACGAAATCCTCAAAGCTATCCAAATATCCTCTTGCAGATTTTACAAAAAGAGTGTTTCAAAACTGCTCTATCAAAAGAAAGCTTCAACACTGTTAGTTGATGGCGCACATCACAAATAAGATTCTGAGAATTGCTTCTGTCTAGTTTTCAGGGGAAGATATTTCCTTTTAAACCATAGGCCTGAAAGCGCTCCAAATGTCCACATCCAGATACTACAAAAAGAGTGTTTCAAACCTGCTCTATGAAAGGGACTGTTCAACACTGTGACTTCAATTGAAACATCCCAATGAAGCTTCTGAGAATGCTTCTGTCTAGAGTTTATATGAAGACAATCCCGTTTCCAACGAAATCCTCAAAGCTATCCAAATATCCTCTTGCAGATATTACAAAAAGAGTGTTTCAAAACTGCTCTATCAAAAGAAAGGTTCAACACTGTTAGTTGAGGGCGCACATCACAAATAAGTTTACTGAGAATGCTTTCTGTCTAGTTTTCAGGGGAAGATATTTCCTTTTTCACCATAGGCCTGAAAGCGCTGCAAATGTCCACATCCAGATACTACAAAAAGAGTGTTTCAAACCTGCTCTATGAAAGGGAATGTTCAACTCTGTGACTTGAATGCAAACGTCACAAAGAAGTTACTGGGAATGCTGCTGTCTGCTTTTTATATGTAATCCCGTTTCCAACGAAATCCTCAAAGCTAGACAAATATCCACTTGCAGATTCCACAAAAAGAGTGTTTCAAAACTGCTCTCTCAAAAGAAAGGTTCAACTCTGTTAGCTGAGTAGATACATCATGAAAAAGTTTCTGACATTGCTTCTATCTAGCTTTTATTGGAAGATATTTCCTTTTTCACCATAGGCCTGAAAGCGCTCCAAATGTCCACATCCAGATACTACAAAAAGAGTGTTTCAAACCTGCTCTATGAAAGGGACTGTTCAACACTGTGACTTCAATTGAAACATCCCAATGAAGCTTCTGAGAATGCTTCTGTCTAGAGTTTATATGAAGACAATCCCGTTTCCAACGAAATCCTCAAAGCTATCCAAATATCCTCTTGCAGATATTACAAAAAGAGTGTTTCAAAACTGCTCTATCAAAAGAAAGGTTCAACACTGTTAGTTGAGGGCGCACATCACAAATAAGTTTACTGAGAATGCTGCTGTCTGCTTTTTATATGTAATCCCGTTTCCAAAGAAATCCTCAAAGCTAGACAAATATCCACTTGCAGATTCCACAAAAAGAGTGTTTCAAAACTGCTCTATCAAAAGAAAGCTTCAACACTGTTAGTTGAGGGCGCACATCACAAATAAGTTTCTGAGAATGCTTCTGTCTAGTTTTCAGGGGAAGATATTTCCTTTTTCACCATAGGCCTGAAAGCGCTCCAAATGTCCACATCCAGATACTACAAAAAGAGTGTTTCAAACCTGCTCTATGAAAGGGACTGTTCAACACTGTGACTTCAATTGAAACATCCCAATGAAGCTTCTGAGAATGCTTCTGTCTAGAGTTTATATGAAGACAATCCCGTTTCCAACGAAATCCTCAAAGCTATCCAAATATCCTCTTGCAGATTTTACGAAAAGAGTGTTTCAAAACTGCTCTATCAAAAGAAACCTTCAACACTGTTAGTTGAGGGCGCACATCACAAATAAGATTCTGAGAATGCTTCTATCTAGTTTTCAGGGGAAGATATTTCCTTTTTCACCATAGGCCTGAGAGCGCTCCAAATGTCCACATCCAGATGCTACAAAAAGAGTGTTTCAAACCTGCTCTATGAAAGGGAATGTTCAACTCTGTGACTTGAATGCAAACATCACAAAGAAGTTTCTGGGAATGCTGCTGTCTGCTTTTTATATGTAATCCCGTTTCCAACGAAATCCTCAAAGCTAGACAAATATCCACTTGCAGATTCCACAAAAAGAGTGTTTCAAAACTGCTCTCTCAAAGGAAAGGTTCACCTCTGTTAGCTGAGTAGATACATCATGAAAAAGTTTCTGACATTGCTTCTATGTAGCTTTTATTGGAAGATATTTAATTTTTCACCATAGTCCTGAGAGCCCTCCAAATGTCCACTTCCAGATACTACAAAAAGTGTGTTTCAAACCTGTTCTATGAAAGGAACTGTTCAACACTGTGACTTCAATTGAAACATCCCAATGAAGCTTCTGAGAATGCTTCTGTCTAGACTTTATATGAAGACAATCCCGTTTCCAACGAAATCCTCAAAGCTATCCAAATATCCTCTTGCAGATATTACAAAAAGAGTGTTTCAAAACTTCTCTATCAAAAGAAAGCTTCAACACTGTTAGTTGAGGGCGCACATCACAAATAAGTTTCTGAGAATGCTGCTGTCTGCTTTTTATATGTAATCACGTTTCCAACGAAATCCTCAAAGCTAGACAAATATCCACTTGCAGATTCCACAAAAAGAGTTTTTCAAAACTGCTCTATGAAAAGAAAGCTTCAACACTGTTAGCTGAGGGCGCACATCACAAATAAGTTTCTGAGAATGCTTCTGTCTAGTTTTCAGGGGAAGATATTTCCTTTTAAACCGTAGGCCTGAAAGCGCTCCAAATGTCCACATCCAGATACTACAAAAAGAGTGTTTCAAACCTGCTCTATGAAAGGGACTGTTCAACACTGTGACTTCAATTGAAACATCCCAATGAAGCTTCTGAGAATGCTTCTGTCTAGAGTTTATATGAAGACAATCCCGTTTCCAACGAAATCCTCAAAGCTATCCAAATATCCTCTTGCAGATATTACAAAAAGAGTGTTTCAAAACTGCTCTATCAAAAGAAAGCTTCAACACTGTTAGTTGAGGGCGCACATCACAAATAAGTTTCTGAGAATGCTTCTGTCTAGTTTTCAGGGGAAGATATTTCCTTTTTCACCATAGGCCTGAAAGCGCTCCAAATGTCCACATCCAGATACCACAAAAAGAGTGTTTCAAACCTGCTCTATGAAAGGGAATGTTCAACTTTTTGACTTGAATGCAAACATCACAAAGAAGTTACTGGGAATGCTGCTGTCTGCTTTTTATATGTAATCCCGTTTCCAACGAAATCCTCAAAGCTAGACAAATATCCACTTCCAGATTCCACAAAAAGAGTGTTTCAAAACTGCTCTCTCAAAAGAAAGTTTCAACTCTGTTAGCTGAGTAGATACATCATGAAAAAGTTTCTGACATTGCTTCTATGTAGCTTTTATTGGAAGATATTTCCTTTTTCACCGTAGTCCTGAGAGCGCTCCAAATGTCCACTTCCAGATACTACAAAAAGAGTGTTTCAAACCTGCTCTATGAAAGGGAATGTTCAACTCTGTGACTTGAATGCAAACATCACAAAGAAGTTTCTGGGAATGCTGCTGTCTGCTTTGTATAATTAATCCCGTTTCCAACGAAATCCTCAAAGCTATCCAAATATCCTCTTGCAGATATTACAAAAAGAGTGTTTCAAAACTGCTCTATCAAAAGAAAGCTTCAACACTGTTAGTTGAGGGCGCACATCACAAATAAGTTTCTGAGAATGCTGCTGTCTGCTTTTTATAATTAATCCCGTTTCCAACGAAATCCTCAAAGCTATCCAAATATCCTCTTGCAGATATTACAAAAAGAGTGTTTCAAAACTGCTCTATCAAAAGAAAGCTTCAACACTGTTAGTTGAGGGCGCACATCACAAATAAGTTTCTGAGAATGCTTCTGTCTAGTTTTCAGGGGAAGATATTTCCTTTTTCACCATAGGCCTGAAAGCGCTCCAAATGTCCACATCCAGATACTACAAAAAGAGTGTTTCAAACCTGCTCTATGAAAGGGACTGTTCAACACTGTGACTTCAATTGAAACATCCCAATGAAGCTTCTGAGAATGCTTCTGTCTAGAGTTTATATGAAGACAATCCCGTTTCCAACGAAATCCTCAAAGCTATCCAAATATCCTCTTGCAGATATTACAAAAAGAGTGTTTCAAAACGGCTCTATCAAAAGAAAGCTTCAACACTGTTAGTTGAGGGCGCACATCACAAATAAGTTTCTGAGAATGCTTCTGTCTCGTTTTCAGTGGAAGATATTTCCTTTTTCACCATAGGCCTGACAGGGCTCCAAATGTCCAAATCCTGATACTACAAAAAGAGTGTTTCAAACCTGCTCTATGAAAGGGAATGTTCAACTCTGTGACTTGAATGCAAACATCACAAAGAAGTTTCTGGGAATGCTGCTGTCTGCTTTTTATATGTAATCCCGTTTCCAACGAAATCCTCAAAGCTAGGCAAATATCCCCTTGCAGATTCCACAAAAAGAGTGTTTCAAAACTGCTCTCTCAAAGGAAGGTTCAACTCTGTTAGCTGAGTAGATACATCATGAAAAAGTTTCTGACATTGCTTCTATCTAGCTTTTATTGGAAGATATTTCCTTTATCACCGTATTCCTGAGATCTCTCCAAATGTCCACTTCCAGATACTACAAAAAGAGTGTTTCAAACCTGCTCTATGAAAGGGACTGTTCAACACTGTGACTTCAATTGAAACATCCCAATGAAGCTTCTGAGAATGCTTCTGTCTAGAGTTTATATGAAGACAATCCCGTTTCCAACGAAATCCTCAAAAGCTACCAAATATCCTCTTGCAGATTTTACAAAAAGAGTGTTTCAAAACTGCTCTATCAAAAGAAAGCTTCAACACTGTTAGCTGAGGGCGCACATCACAAATAAGATTCTGAGAATGCTGCTGTCTGCTTCTTATATGTAATCCCGTTTCCAACGAAATCCTCAAAGCTAGACAAATATCCACTTGCAGATACCACAAAAAGAGTGTTTCAAAACTGCTCTATCAAAAGAAAGCTTCAACACTGTTAGTTGAGGGGGCACATCACAAATAAGTTTCTGAGAATGCTTCTGTCTAGTTTTCAGGGGAAGATATTTCCTTTTAAACCATAGGCCTGAAAGCGCTCCAAATGTCCACATCCAGATACTACAAAAAGAGTGTTTCAAACCTGCTCTATGAAAGGGACTGTTCAACACTGTGACTTCAATTGAAACATCCCAATGACGCTTCTGAGAATGCTACTGTCTAGGGTTAATATGAAGACAATCCCGTTTCCAACGAAATCCTCAAAGCTATCCAAATATCCTCTTGCAGATTTTACAAAAAGAGTGTTTAAAAACTGCTCTATCAAAAGAAAGCTTCAACACTGTTAGTTGAGGGCGCGCATCACAAATAAGTTTCTGAGAATGCTTCTGTCTAGTTTTCAGGGGAAGATATTTCCTTTTTCACCATAGGCCTGAAAGCGCTCCAAATGTCCACATCCAGATACTACAAAAAGAGTGTTTCAAACCTGCTCTATGAAAGGGAATGTTCAACTCTGTGACTTGAATGCAAACATCACAAACAAGTTTCTGTGAATGCTGCTGTCTGCTTTTTATATGGATTCCCGTTTCCAACGAAATCCTCCAAGCTGGCCTAATATCCACTTGCATATTCCCCAAAAAGAGTGTTTTAAAACTGGTCTCTCAAAAGAAAGGTTCAACTCTGTTAGCTGAGTAGATACATCATGAAAAATTTCTGACATTGCTTCTATCTAGCTTTTATTGGAAGATATTTCCTTTTTCACAGTAGTCCTGAGAGCGCTCCAAATGTCCACTTCCAGATACTACAAAAAGAGTGTTTCAAACCTGCTCTATGAAAGGGACTGTTCAACACTGTGACTTCAGTTGAAACATCACAATGAAGTTTCTGAGAAAGCTTCTGTCTAGAGTTTATATGAAGACAATCCCGTTTCCAACGAAATCCTCAAAGCTATCCAAATATCTTCTTGCAGATTTTACAAAAAGTGTGTTTCAAAACTGCTCTATCAAAAGAAAGGTTCAACACTGTTAGTTGGGGGCGCACATCACAAATAAGATTCTGAGAATGCTTCTGTCTAGTTTTCAGGGGAAGATATTTCCTTTTTCACCATAGGCCTGAAAGCGCTCCAAATGTCCACATCCAGATACTACAAAAAGAGTGTTTCAAACCTGCTCTATGAAAGGGAATGTTAAACTCTGTGACTTGAATGCAAACATCACAAAGAAGTTTCTGGGAATGCTGCTGTCTGCTTTTTATATGTAATCCCGTTTCCAACGCAATCCTCAAATCTAGACAAATATCCACTTGCAGATTCCACAAAAAGAGTGTTTCAAAACTGCTCTCTCAAAGGAAAGGTTCAACTCTGTTAGCTGAGTAGATACATCATGAAAAAGTTTCTGACATTGCTTCTATCTAGCTTTTATTGGAAGATAGTTCCTTTTTCACCGCAGTCCTGAGAGCGCTCCAAATGTCCACTTCCAGATACTACAAAAAGAGTGTTTTAAACCTGCTCTATGAAAGGGACTGTTCAACACTGTGACTTCAATTGAAACATCCCAATGAAGCTTCTGAGAATGCTTCTGTCTAGTTTCCAGGGGAAGATATTTCCTTTTTCACCATAGGCCTGAAAGCGCTCCAAATGTCCACATCCAGATAGTACAAAAAGAGTGTTTCAAACCTGCTCTATGAAAGGGAATGTTCAATTCTGTGACTTGAATGCAAACATCACAAAGAAGTTTCTGGGAATGCTGCTGTCTGCTTTTTATATGTAATCCCGTTTCCAACGAAATCCTCAAAGCTAGACAAATATCCACTTGCAGATACCACAAAAAGAGTGTTTCAAAACTGCTCTATCAAAAGAAAGCTTCAACACTGTTAGTTGAGGGCGCACATCACAAATAAGTTTCTGAGAATGCTTCTGTCTAGTTTTCAGGGGAAGATCTTTCCTTTTTCACCATAGGCCTGAAAGCGCTCCAAATGTCCACATACAGATACTACAAAAAGAGTGTTTCAAACCTGCTCTTTGAAAGGGAATGTTCAACTCTGTGACTTGAATGCAAACATCACAAAGAAGTTTCTGGGAATGCTTCTGTCTAGAGTTTATATGAAGACAATCCCGTTTCCAAAGAAATCCCCAAAGCTATCCAAATATCCTCTTGCAGATTTTACAAAAAGAGTGTTTCAAAACTGCTCTATCAAAAGAAAGCTTCAACACTGTTAGTTGAGGGCGCACATCACAAATAAGATTCTGAGAATGCTTCTGTCTAGTTTTCAGGGGAAGATATTTCCTTTTTCACCATAGGCCTGAAAGCGCTCCAAATGTCCACATCCAGATACTACAAAAAGAGTGTTTCAAACCTGCTCTCTGAAAGGGAATGTTCAACTCTGTGACTTGAATGCAAACATCACAAACAAGATTCTGGGAATGCTGCTGTCTGCTTTTTATATGTAATCCCGTTTCCAACGAAATCCTCAAAGCTAGACAAATATCCACTTGCAGATTCCACAAAAAGAGTGTTTCAAAACTGCTCTCTCAAAAGAAAGGTTCAACTCTGTTAGCTGAGTAGATACATCATGAAAAAGTTTCTGACATTGCTTCTATCTAGCTTTATTTGGAAGATATTTCCTTTTTCACCGTAGTCCTGAGAGCGCTCCAAATGTCCACTTCCAGATACTACAAAAAGAGTGTTTCAAACCTGCTCTATGAAAGGGACTGTTCAACACTGTGACTTCAATTGAAACATCCCAATGAAGCTTCTGAGAATGCTGCTGTCTGCTTTGTATAATTAATCCCGTTTCCAACGAAATCCTCAAAGCTATCCAAATATCCTCTTGCAGATATTACAAAAAGAGTGTTTCAAAACTGCTCTATCAAAAGAAAGCTTCAACACTGTTAGTTGAGGGCGCACATCACAAATAAGTTTCTGAGAATGCTGAAGCATTCTCAGAATACAATTTGTGATGGGCGCCATCAACTGGGCTCAAATGATCCTCCCACCTTAGCCTTCCAAGTAGCTTGGACTAGAGTCATGCACCACCGCACCTGGCTAAATTTTTTTTTTTTTTTTTTTTGTAGAGACTACCGGCCTGGCTAATTTTTCTATTTTTTGTAGAGACAGGGTCTCACTATCTTGTCTAGGCTGGTCTCAAATTTCTGGGCTCAAGTGTTCCTCCTGCCTTGCCCTCCCAAAGTCCTGGGATTACAGGCATGAGCCACCACAC